>NC_000001.11:53190198-53341713 GCF_000001405.40 Homo sapiens
TAGTGACTGCACAGACATTCCATATGGCAGGGGTCACCAACCCCTGGGCTGCAGACCCCTGTCAGTGGCGTGTTAGGATCTGGGTCGCACAGCAGGAGGTGAGCCATGAGCCAGCATTACCTCCTGAGCTCCGCCTGCTGGTGCGAGCTCCTTATGAGAATCTAACTAATGCCTGATGACCTGAGGCAAAACAGTTTCATCCCAAAACCACCCCCACCCCCCAACCCCCGTCCATGGAAAAATTGTCCCTGGTGCCAAAAAGGTCTGGGACCACTGCCATATGGACTATGCCCTTGACTCTCCCAAAGGAACATTTCCCCATTCCTCACTCGCTGGGGTACCTCGCTGGGAAAGTATGAGAAGCCCCAGCGGCCACCGTCACGTGGGGATAACAAGATATACACAAAAAAGTGAGCTTCCGCCACGGGAATTCAGGCCTGATGCAGTCTGTGATGTGAGGATGTCTCAGGCACTGCCATGCAGATGAGTGGGAAATGAAGGGGACTGATGGGAAGTGCCCTGAGGTGACAGGAGGGAGCAGTTCCCGAGGGAGCCACAATGGTCAGGGAGGGCTTGGGGGATTGGCAGATAGAAGTGGGCCTTGAAAGGAAAATAAGAGTTGTACAAGCAAGAAGGAGATAGAAACGGTATTCCAGGTGATGAGAAAAGTATGCCCAAATTTTGGAAGCCAGAGAGTGGGATACTCCAGGGAGAGTGAAAAGACAGCCTGGCTAGAGGAAATGGGTCCTGAAGGAGAGAAATGAGAGATCACTCTGGAAAGGAAGTCTGGGGCTGGTTCCTGAGGAAAGTCCCCTGAGATCCAACATCTTCTTCTGTTCTTTCTACCCACAGGTCAGGAATTACACAGATATTGTTTGCTCTGCAGACCTGAGCTGCCTCTTAAGGGTGCTGATTACACAGCCTTCTTCATCTCAGCCTATGTCCAGATGGATCACAGAATCCTCACCACAAGGGAGCTGGCCAGCCTGACCTGGAAGGTGGGGGCTTTCCTGCCATTGGTGCCTATTGCTTTGGGCTTGCATACTCAGTACAGGTTGACACCTAACTCTAATGCCACCTGCTATGCCAACAGGACCATCCAGAAACTCAACCAAGGCACCACAGACTGCTGGGGAAAGGTTCTTGCTGTTTTAAATAACATGTCCAGGCCGGGCACAATGGCTCACGCCAGTAATCCCAGCACTTTGGGAGGCCGAGGAAGGCGGATCACCCGAGCTCAAGAGTTCAAGACCAGCCTGGCCAACATGGTAAATCCTGTCTCTACTAAAAATACAAAAAAAAAAAAAAAAATTAGCTGGGTTGGTGGCACACACCTGTAGTCCCAGCTACTCGGGAGGCTGAGGCATGAGAATCACTTGAACCTGGGTGGCAGAGGTTGCAGTGAGCCGAGATCACACCACTGCACTCCAGCCTGGGTGACAGACCAAGACTCCGTCTTAATAAAAAATAAATAAATAAATAACAAGTCCATCATCAGTTAGGCCCTGACCAAATGGGCTAGGGGACATGAGGACAGATGGGGACGGGGAAAAAAAGGAGCAGATACCTTAGCTCAGGTCCTCATCCCCAGCTGGGTTCCCTTCTCCTCCAAGGAATCCTTTCCAGGAGTGGAGAAAGAGGCATCTCAGTCAGACAGCCAGGGTCCCTGGAGGCCAGACTTTTTCATCCCCTTTCACATGTGAAGAGGCTGAATAATCATCTTATCCCCCTGTATTAGCTCATTCTCACATTGCTATAAAGAACTACCTGAGACTGGGTAATTTATAAAGAAAAGAGATAGAGCCAGGCATGGTGGCTCATGCCTGTAATCAAAGCACTTTGGGAGGATGAGGTGGGCAGATCACCTGAGGTCAGGAGTTCGAGACCAGCCTGGCCAACATGGTGAAACCCAGTCTCTACTAAAAATACAAGAATTAGCCAGATGTGGTGGCCTGCGCCTGCAATCCCAGCTACTCAGAAGGCTTAGGCAGGAGAATCACTTGAACCTGGGAGGCAGAGGTTGCAGTGAGCCAAGATCCCACCACTGCACTCCAGCCTGGGCAAGACAGTGAGACCATATCAAAAAAAAAAAAAAAAAAAAGAAAAAAAAGAAAAAGAAAAAGAAAAAGAAAAAAAGAAAGAAGAAAAGAAAAGAAAGGAAAGGAAAAAAGAAAAGAAAAGAGGTTTAATTGACTCATGGTTCCACAGGCTGTACAGGAAGCATGGCTGGGGAGGCCTCAGGAAACTTACAATCACGGCAGAAGATGAAGGGGAAGCAGGCATGTCTTACATGGCTGGAGGAGGAAGGAGAGAGAGTGAAGGAGGAGGTGCTACACACTTTAAACAACCAGATCTCATGAGAACTCACTCACTATCAAGAGAACAGCAAGGGGGAAATCTGCCCCCATGATCCAAACCGTGTCACCTGCCTGTATTATCTCTGTGTGTGTGTGTGTGTGTGTGTGTGTGTGTGTGTGTGTGTGTGTGTGTGTGTGTGTGATGGGGTCTCACTCTGTCACCCAGGCTAGAGGAGCATGATCATAGCTCACTCACTGCAGCCTCAAATTTGAGGGATCCTCCTGGGCTCAAGCTATCCTCCTGCCTTAGCCTCCCAAGTAGCTAGGACTGTGCCTAGCTAAAATACCAAACTCTTGATTTCAGCTCCTTTTGTCATCATTTGTCCATTTCTTCTACAATCTTAAATTTTTTTGACTGGGGTTTCTATGTTGCTGAATTTGGTGACATTTTCACTAACCCAGAACACACACACACACACACACACACACACACACACACACAGCCCCATTAAAGTTCTTTCCTTCAATGAAATTGGCAAAGGGGCATAAAGAAAACTGGAACCTAAGGACCCAGTGAGGAAGCAAAGTTCCACTTTCCACTGGAAACTGGTCTTTTACAATAATCCCATTGCACCTAGGAGCTGGACCAGGCTGTTATTTTAGAGTTTAAAAGTTGTCCTCCCTTCTTCTACCTGGCTACTGGCTTGGGGCTTTAGGTGGGTGAGGCCTACCTCCACAAGAAAAATCCACAGTGAAAATGGTGACAGTTGGAGGGTGCTGGAGTTGAGCTTAGCCTTCCTCACTTCAGAAGAGCTAAATGCATACAGGAGTGCAACAGAAGTCAGGAATCTATTGCCAGAGGGGCCAGAGAGGGGCAAGGGCCTTCCTGCTCTAGGGCCCTTCCCCAGAAGATGTTAGCTATGGGTCAAGTCTCTACCTCCTCCCCAACCCCCATTCTCCATTGCATCCTTGGAACCAGGAGCCCAGAAACCTGCCAGCCCAGATGACCAGGACCATGTTTGAGATGCATAAATTTGGTCCTCTGGATCCTTCAAAAGTACACTGTATTTGTCACTCCCCGTAGACCCTCATGCAATAAGTTCTTCATGCTCTGTACATCGATTCTTTTTCTCCAGCAGTTCTGAGCAATGCTTCAAAAACGAAACATCAGATTCCTTGTAAAGTTAAAAGGAACAGATTTTTTTCCCACATACCATGAATTTCTCATTGATTGGTTTAGTTACAATATCTAATGTGTCCACAGGTATGTTTTAAAAGTTCCTTTATGGGGCAGAGAGAGCATTTTTTTAATACTCTGGTTTCACTTTTTTGCATTTAAATACTTTCTCACATACTCAATATTTATAAAAGGGTTAGAGTTCATTTTAACAAATCCCATTAAATAGGCAGGGCTTTTCAAGGTCTTGCCTATGAATTTCCTCATTTCAAGCACTGTTTAGTCCAGGTAAGCTCCAATAGAACCTGAGAACTTGGGACTGCCAGGCCAACTCTAGGTACTAGTTCCTGACATTTCTTTGAATATTTGGGTGGTCACATTTGTTTTCTTTGGTCATACTTACCCAACTGGACCTCTTTTTTGTTGAAATGTGAACTCTACTGCTAGCCAGTTAAAGTTCATTGTTTTTCAGAACTTTGATTTTGAAGATGAATATGACTTTAACCTGGCCATCATGTACTGCTTTTTCATAGTTAATTCAAAACAGAGCAGAACTCTGGGGATTAGTTCAATAGAAACAATGTATTCTTCAGGATCTTTCTCTAAGTAGAGGAACTTTCTTGACCCTTACACAGCAATATATGGACTTTTTGGACTACCAGCTCATGGTTATTCTTAATGTGATCCAGACCCCAGGGCCATCCCCAGGAAAAGGAAGCAAAGCACCTCCCCACAGTAGGCCTGTGCTAGACACAGTGGACACACAGTGGAAACAAGGTCCCTGCCCAAAGACCTCAAAATTTATTGTGAGAGATGAATTGGTAATTAAATAGCTGATTATTTTAAAAGCCCTAATACAGTTGTGTTTCATGTACATAACTGTAAATGAATGTAAAAAGTGCTGTAAAATCACAGTGGGAGGGATTCATTCTTGCAGTGAGGAAGAAGGATGAGGATTGAGGAAGACTTCAAAGAGGTGAGTTTTGAAATAGGGTTTGAAGGACAAGTAAGAGTTTACTAGGCAGAGATGCATGGAAAGAACATTCCAGGCAGCAGAGACAGCTAAAATAAATAAATAAATAAGTCGCAGAGTAAGGAAAAGGATGGGAATGAGAAGTGGTTCAGTGTTACTACAGCATAGAGCAAGCTTGTCCAACCCACAGCTCAGGATGGCTTTGAATGAGGCCAACACAAATTAGTAAACTTTATTAAAATATGAGATATTTTTACAATTTTGTTTTGTTTTTGCTTATTAGCTATCATTAGTATTAGTGTATTTTATGTGTGGCCCAAGACAATTCTTCTTCCAGTGTGGCTCAGGGAAGTCAAAAGATTGGACACCCCTGGCATAGAGTATTTTGGGGTGACATGATGGGAGCTGGAGAAGTAGGTAGGGGTCAGAATTCAGAAGGCCTTGGACACCAGCCTAAAGGCTTAGAGTTGCTCCCATTGGCCATGCACTCACCAAAGGTGTTCACGTCCCTCTTTTGGCTGTTAGATTGGATGGGCTCAATCTTTTGGCCCTCTGTCTCTAGAATAGAGCCGCTGCTTTTCTACTGGGCCCACTATTTCTTCCTGGTCCTCTGATCCCCTTAGCACTACACAGATCTCGATATTTGCCTCGGGTATCAAGGCTCTGAAAATGATCAGGATTTAGAGGAGATGGCTCATTTTCAGAAAGAGTTTTATATTCTCCCTCTGGCCTTATACACTACAGGCAAATGGCACCGATGTTTTGGAGTTGGGCCAGTTGGGCCTTTTCTCCCCTCAAGAGAGGAGGATTCGATATTCAGTGTTTCTGAATTTCATGCTTAGTTCTTAAGCCATTTCCCATTTGCCCTAAGAAATAAGAGCTGGCAGCAAGCTGCGCTGTTTTTTTCTAAACGGGAAATGGGTTAAGCATTTGTGATCACCACTGAATGAGTGCCAGAGCTGGTTAGTGATCTTCCTGTTCAATCCGAGGTCACCTAACTAGATAACAAAGAGCTGAAACTAAAAGTCCGGTCTCCTGACTCCCAATCCAGTACTCTTTCTGGTGTGCTCCAGCTTCTGGCTCTGCTTAGCCAATTATGGAACAGACAGAATGTACTTGGCTGCCCCAAACGGCTAAAGGGCAGTTCTGTTCCCAAAATGGAATTCTGTTGTGCCTCAAGCTAGGCAGCATAATTGTGTGTCTTTTGGTAACTCCCTGTCTTCTTCTGTAAAATGGGAGTAGAGCCTACTTAATCCTGCAGCTACTTCTAAGATCAGGGATTGGGGCGTGGTGGGCTGTTCTGCAGCTGTTTTGTGATGGATGAGGGATGATAGATCTATGTTCAAGTAGCGGAATCTTAGAGTCAGGAGTTGGAAGGAATCTTGGAGGTGGTCTGTGGTGACAGGAAGCCTCTTCCAATAGACTGAACACGGAAGACTTCCTAGAGCCGGAGGACAAGGGTTTCTTTCCTCTTAGCAGTGAGCTTCTTGTTTTTGGAAATGCTCAAGCCAAGAATGGATGTTCAGGCAGAGGGGATTCCGCTCGGAAGGGGCTTTCTGCACTGAAGTGGTGGCCAGCGGGAAACTCCAGGTTTCCAACTCCTGCACAAATCCTTTCTAATATCCATCCACTCAGGTGAGCTGGCAGGGCAGTAGCTGTGCAGGGTTCAGGGTCATTATATGTCAATGACCTTCAGCACGGATTACTAACAACAGTAACATCCGTTACCGTTTACTGCTTTCCTATTAAGCACCATGCACTGTGCATAACATGTTATCTTTATCTCATATCTAGAATTTTGGGAGGTACTTTGAATCATTACGATCTATCTACTTCTTAGGTGAGGAAATAGAGGTTTAAAATTTAGTCCACAGTCTCGCAAGGATGGAGCCTGGATCAAATTTTGGGTTATCAGATTCCAATCACGTTTCTTAGCTTTTCTTTTTTTTTTCCAACTCCAGTTTCTGTCTTGCTCCAAAAAAGGGGAAGGAGCGGCTGCGGCGCTCGGTTTCCCGCCTCCTAGGGAAGGGAAGGGAGACGAGCAGCGCGGAGGCTGGGGCCCCCTTCCGGGCGGGGCCTACTAGTGGGCGGGGCCTGTCAGTGAGCGGCCCCTGCCCGGAAGGAGCCAGTCCGGGGCGGAGCCGATGGCCTTACAGGGGCCGGAAGTGGCCTGCGGGCGGAGAAGTGCCTCAGGAGTCCTGACGCAGTGTCTTGGGCGCTAACGGCGGCGGCGGCCTTGTGTTTAGACTCCAGAACTCCCCACTTGCCGCGTTCTCGCCGCCGCAGGCTCCCGGGACGATGGTGCCCCGCCTGCTGCTGCGCGCCTGGCCCCGGGGCCCCGCGGTTGGTCCGGGAGCCCCCAGTCGGCCCCTCAGCGCCGGCTCCGGGCCCGGCCAGTACCTGCAGCGCAGCATCGTGCCCACCATGCACTACCAGGACAGCCTGCCCAGGTGAGCCTGGCCTCCGGGTCCCCGCCGCCCGCCGCCGTCCCAGGATCGGCCCCAACCTGACTGCAGTCACTCATGACTCCTCTAGTGAACCCGTTTCCGCCCCCAAGCCCCTACCATGGAGGCTGCCACAGCCCCTAATCTGGAAGTCTTGGGACTTTTCACAATCTCCTAGCACAGGAACCTCAGAACCCTCAAATTCTCTTCCAGAACCCCTCGATGCTATCTCAGATTCTCCATCTTGAACGCTTCTCAGATTCCCTCTCCTTTAACCTAACTTCCAGCCAGCTATCCTGAGTCCTCTTCTCCCTGAAAAATGCCAGACCTGCATATTTCCAGCGCCGCTGTAATCCCTCGACTATGGTGTCTCCTGAAGTACTTTAATGACTGCCTCACATTCCTACCCGGAATATGGGTAGGCTGATTCCTAATACATCATGGTTACCATTCCTTAACTTCTCCCAGCACCGCCTTCACCCCTGTCACTCAGGACCCTCAGCCCCACCTCCCATTTCTCCAGTACTCTGTTCTTTCACCCCCCATGAGCCCCCACAAGCACAGCCCTGAAGTGTTCACCCTTGTCCTCAACTGACCCTCCCCCATGTTTTTAAATCTTTAATCTCCTAAATCCAGTGTTCACCCGGAAACCTTTCACTCTCTCCAAGCCCTCCTCAACAGGTTCCTCCCCTCAAAATATCCTTCCTCACCCACAGTACCCCTTGTAAGTGCAGCTCACCCTCACAGAATTCTAGACACCACCCTCAGTACCCCATCCACACTCCATCATACTCAGATCCAGGGTCCACCCAAATTTCTCTTCTCCTCCTCACCACTGGCTACCCTGCCTTCGAAACACTTCACCCAGAATCGACTTCCCCTCTGAAAAGAGCCCTAGTAAATCCTCTTCCCCTTCCCTCCCCCAGTACTTTCTTAAATCCAGCTTCCAGTTCTTCCAGCCTTCGAACTCCGCTTTCGTCTGAGTTGCCAGATCTCCTTCTTCAATATTAGAAATTTTCTTCACCCTCTAAACCAAACCTAAACTAACTTCTAACTTACTGAGTGAGTAACTCAGTTCCTGGAGCCAAGTTCAAAATTTGTCTCAAAGACCCTTCTCACCTTATTTCTCACCAAACTGCCCTCAGGGATTCCCCACACTCCAAGAGCTAGAGGCCAGGCTTCTTCCCCATGTGTGGAACATTGTGTCACAGGCCTCACCCGAGCTGCTGGGTTGTTTTTCTCTGCATCTGGGACCACTTAACCCAACGTCATCACTACATACCCTCACCCTCTCAGGAGGATCGAGTGATTCTTGTGAAATTACATTTTGTGCAAACATCTAAGACATGAAAATGAGATTATCTACACGTGGCAGGAGGGAGGAAGAAAAAGGGGCTTTGTGCCTGTGGCATAAGCCTGGTACATGCTTCCACCCTGTCAACCTGTGTGTATGAGCTGAGCCAGTATATGGGTGAAAGGTGAGGACTGACAGAACCTGTCTTCACTTGCCAAGTTCAGAGTCAGATGGTCACTGACTTTCAGGCAGGCCTGGGCCCCACCCAGGTTTAAGATCAGAGGGATTTTCTGCACTTTAGAATTGGAAAGCTGGAAAGAATATTCAAGATTATTTATTCCAACCCCATCCATAGCACAGTCTGTAGGAATCTGGAGGTACCAATTCAAACTCCAGTTCAAATAGTACCACTAGTCACCTACGCATAACCTTAAGCAACCAACCTCCCCCAGACCTCCATTACCTTATTTGTAAATTGGGAGTTAGATGAGAGATGAGATTCCTTCTGTCGCTCAGATTCTAGACTGGTAAAATGTATAATCTTTCACACTCACTCATTGATGTCACACTTGGTGAAAAGCCCTGACTTTGAGGTCTGGTAGAATGTAGTTGCAGATTCTGGATCTGCAAGTCTTTAGCTATAATTTGGGGCAATTCTGTTCACTTCATTGAGCCACAGTTTTATTTTGGTTTTTTTGAGACAGTCTCGCTCTGTTGCCCAGGCTGGAGTGCAGTGGCCCTATCTCGGCTCACTGCAACTTCTGCCTCCCGGGTTCAAAGGATCCTCCCGCCTCAGCCTCCCAAGTAGCTGGGATTACAAGCATGTGCCACCACACCCAGCTAATTTTTGTATTTTTAGTAGAGATGGAGTTTCACCATGTTGGCCAGGCTGGTCTCAATCTCCTGACCTCAAGTGATCTGCTCTTGGCCTCCCATCTGGGACCACAGGCATGCACCATCATGCCTGGCTGATTTTTTGTATCTTTTATAGAGACAGGGTTTCGCCATGTTGCCCAGGCTGGTCTTGAACTCCTGGACTCGAGCAATCTGCCTGCCTCGGCCTCCCAAAGTGCTGGGATTACAGGTGTGAACCACCGTGCCCAGCTTCACTCCAGAAATTTTTAAGTAGGACTTTTTTAAATCAAATTGCCATTGTCTCTAATCTAGAATTTTGTTTAAAAGGAAGAAGGTAAACTTTCATGAATATTCCTACTGTAATAAAACTAAATCTTAAACATATGTAGGCAACTGGAATTATGAGGTAGCTGAGATAGTATTTGGAATTTTTCTGAGTAAGTCAGTGAATGTAAGGGGATCTGTGGTGTTAAAGTGTTGTAAATGGGTACTTAGTGCAGTCTAAGTCCATAATGGCAGTAAATAATTGATTTATTTTTGTCATATTATGGATAAACATGCATTACAAATAAACTGATGAACCACAGTATATCTTATATTAGGCTTTTAAACTGCTTTATGTATCATGTTTCAGTTTTCCTAAATGACTGATACATTTCAGTATTTTGCATATCAGTGTTAATTTTGAGTTGGTAGAGGCAGCCTAACAAACTCTGATTGTTTTGCTATTAGGGGATATTTCCTTCAATAAAACCAATGAATTGAAAGAGAAAATACACCTCACTTTACTGTCCATGTGTTTTCATTTCACAATAAGCCAGTAACTTCATCACCATAGCCATCTTTGGGAATCACTAGTAGACAGAATGATAAGTAGGCAAATTGCTGTTCCTGTTATTTAAGCACAGGGACTATTTGGTTCTTCCTAATGGCGTTCCTGGTATCTGGGCATGGCTCACTGGTCGATTCCTACCTTTTAGTGACTGTAGCCCCCATATATGGCTGGCCCTTGGACAGATCTGTGTTTCACTCTTATATAATTATTTGTTGTAAAATGCAGAAGAAAATTTAAAAAATAGAACCTTTTCATTTTATCCTAGGGGAGAAAAATGCAGTTGTTCAAACTAAGGGTAGAATTAAATCAGGGCCAATACAGTGTTAGCACAGGTGTTATCATTGTGACCAGAAAACAGGAATTCTTGGGGCAGCTTCTGCTTCCCCATTTTGAATCTATTATTGTTATTTAAAATAATTATATTTGTATTTTACTTAAAGATTTAGTTGTTATTTTACTTAAAAGTAGAGTTACCATTGATATACTTGGCATTAGTAAACCCATTGATTCTGATTTGTCAGTCGCTTCTGATTATTGGTTTTGGGGGAGGAAATTAATGATCTAGTAATCAGTTCATTAGCTTGTAAAGCTAATTAACCTCTTCCATATACTGTCAGCCTTACACTGACCCTGCTTTCTCCCCAGGCTGCCTATTCCCAAACTTGAAGACACCATTAGGAGATACCTCAGTGCACAGAAGCCTCTCTTGAATGATGGCCAGTTCAGGTAAACACTGAGAACCTTGGGTGAGCATAGTTGGGGTGGTTCAAGACAGGCTGGCAAGTAGTGGTGGACCAAGCTTCAGGGAATGTCTGTGACGTGGCTGGGTCTCCAGGAACCCAGAACCTAGTTGTACATCTGCAAGTTCAGGAAATAGATTTTCATTCATGAAGGACTGACCAAGCCCCGAGAGTTCCTCTAAACAGGCTCAACAGGAGATAGTTTATAAGCCAGAATGCCAAATGTGTACTTTCCCTTAGCAGGTGTACCTGGGAGGCTCGCTGGTCCTGGTCATTTATAGAGAGCATGTACCCTTGGAAGGGAGGTCCATTGAGGAGACCATACGGCAGACCAGAAGTCTGCATCGTGAGCATGTTTATTGAGTTGGATAGCATGCCTCCAAAATTTATGCCCTTTTTCATGAAATTTAGTATATGATCTTATTTGGAATTAGGGTTGTGGCAGATGTAATTAGTTAAGATGAGGTCCTACTGGAGTATTGTGGGTCCTTAATTAAATATGACTGGTGTCCTTGTAAGAAGACACAGAGACAGCGGTGTGAGGACACAGGCAGAGATTGTGTCCTCTGCCTGTGTCAACAAGCCAAGGCATGCCAGGGATTGCTGGCAACACCAGAATCTAAGAGAAAGCCATGCAACAGATTCTTCCCCAGTCTTCAGAGAAGATATAGTCCTACTGACACCTGGATTTTGTCCTTAAAGCTTCCAGAACTGTGAGAGAATAAATTTCTGTTGTTTTCAGCCACCCAGTTTGTGGTGTTTTGTTATAGCAGTCCTAGGAAGCAAATACAGCATGGAATTGGAAAATAATATCAAATATTGTCAAAAAGTGGATTGCATTAAGCTCTTATAGCCTAGTGTAGTACTCTTTTTCCATAATGGAAATTTTTCTGTACAGGTAACTGGCATTGTTGTTGGAATCACAGAACTCTTCACTGGACAGTGATGGAGAAGCAGATGAATTATCCATAATCTAGGCCTCTGTTTTCAAATATTTGTTATTAGTCATTTAAAGTTTCTCTTGATATGGTAATAGCTACCAGTTATTGAGTATTATGTTTTAGGATATTCTAAATCCTTAGCTTTATAAATATTTTTAATCTTGTAAAGTGGTATTATTATCCATTTTACACATCAAGAAACCGAGACTCAGATCAAGTAACTTATCCAAGATCACACAGTTTGAAAAGCAACAGAGCTAGGATTCAGACTTAACTTCTGTTGACTCCAGAGCTTGTGTCCTTTTCTCCATGCCAAACTGCCTCCTAGGATATGGATTATTTTGTGAGATGTTGATTGATTTTCCTAATCATTCATTTTAAGAAGGTAGTCTAGATTATCAATTTTAGATTGATTCCTGTTCTGGTTAGAGGTACTTTCTGATCTCATTCCAGGTTTTAGGGCTATGCTGTTGGGGACCCAAAACTCTATTATGAGTTCCTCGCCATGAACCTAAAAATCATGTATTCCCTACCATGGTTTGATTTTGTCTTTTCTTGAATGTTTTAGGAAAACAGAACAATTTTGCAAGAGTTTTGAAAATGGGATTGGAAAAGAACTGCATGAGCAGCTGGTTGCTCTGGACAAACAGAATAAACATACAAGCTACATTTCGGGTAGGTAGGCTGGGCTGTGGGTATGATTTCTCCCAGAGCCCTCCATAATGAAAAGTAAGGCATATTCTCTCCTGTTTTGGTCTCAGAGATATTTTTGGTGAGACCAGCAAATGAAGTAACGTCTCATCCTCCCTTCCTGAGGTAAATTAAGGCTGAGTGTGTTCCTCCTCTACTGAGGTGTTGACTTGAGCCCATGCTCAAGAATGATGGCCAGCCTTCTCTGTAGATGGGATTGAGGCAGAACCTAATCAATGGTCCTGTCTGAAAAGGATGCAGGATTAAGTCCTATGTCCTATATCATTCTGGGTCCTTCACTGTCAGACAGAACTGTCCTCTCCAGCCTCTTCTCTCACCACCCACCCTGACATACTTCCTGCTAAACTCCTCATTGCTCCCTGAACCCTTAGTCTTTCATTCTTTTGTGCCTTTATCCATGCTGTTCCCACTACCATTTTTTTGCCTGGCAAATTCTTCTTTTAAGATCCAAGGAGGATGGTTTTCTGTGAAACCTTCTCAGTCCTTTTTCCTTTCCATTCAGAGTTGGTTGCTTCCACCTCTGTTCCTACAGCACTTCTTTTAATTTAGTTTATATATTTACCAAGGTTATACATGCATATAGTTTAAAGAATCAGACAGTTCTATAAGGCTTGTTAGGAAAAACAGCAACTTCCTCATCATCTTATTTCCCACTTCTCACTTTCAGCTCCTAAATCTTTTGTTATATACCCCCGTATCTCTAAATTAGATACTTACCTTACTGCATCTTGATTTTTTTGCTTTAGTCATTAGCTATTGACATCTCACTGTAGAAGATTAGAATTCAGCAGTACTTTACATCCCACCACATATGTGGGATGTGTATACACATACTTCCTATCCCCTTATTTTCACAGCATAGGGATTTGTAATTTTGGGTAACTCAGTATCTAGTTTTATGCTATTATGATCATAGAAACACTATTGTCAGCTGACTCATGTAGCATATTGGGATTGTTTTTCCTTTCCAGTACAAACTTTTTGTTTTCTCTGAAGTTAATAATTGTTCCATCTTTTCTCTTGTTTAGTTTTCTATGTGCTTACTAATTTACCCCCAGACTCTTCCCAAGCTGTCTGAATCTCCTCTCAATACATGAAAGCAGATTGGACATTCTATCCCTTTTGGTCTTCTTGACGAAACTTCTTCCAGAACTTGCGACATGCTGTAGTCTGGATTTGTGAACCTCTTGGCCTACTGTGAAGCTGCTCTCCTGTGCTCTTTCACCATCAGCTGGGGCATCTGTCATCTCTCTCTCATGTTGGGACTCGTGTTTCTTGTCTTTCATATTTTCTTATTTCTTGGCTTTTTCTTTTTCTTTTTTTTTTTTTTTAAATCAGAGCACATATTCCCTGTACTATCTGGAAACAGAATATGGGAAGCAAAAATTTTAAAATGGCCCTTATACTTCATTGATAATTTGTTTGGCTGGGTTTGAAATTATTTTCCCACAGAATTTTGGAGGCTTTGCTCCATTGTCTTTTAGCATCCAGTGTTGCTGTTGGTAAATCTAATGTTATTCTGAGACTTAATCTTTTGACTACTTCTTCTCTCTGCCTTTGGAAGCTTTTTAGAATTTTCTCTTTGTCCCCAGTGTTTTGAAATTTCAGGTAATGTGTTTTAGTATGTGTTGGGCCACTCTGTGAGTCCTTTGAATCTGGAATCTCATCCTTCAGGTCTGGGATATTTCCTTGTTTTATTTCTTTGGCTTTCTTCCTCTCCATTTTTTTTCTCTGTTTTTTCTTTGTGGAACTCTATTATTATTCAGGTGTAGAATTTCTGGGTCTCATCCTCTAATTTTCTTTTCTCTCACATTTTTCATCTCTTACTCTTTTTGTTACATTTTCTTGGGAGACTTACTTAATTTTAATCTCTCAACCTGTTTTTAAAACTCCTGCTTTCCTATTTTTTACTTCCACAAGCTCTTTTTTCTTCTTATGGTGTTCTTTTTAAAAATAGTTTATCTCTGATAATTTTTTTTTAAGATCTCTTCTCTCTTCATAGTCTGTTGCCTCCAAGTTGCTTTTCTTCTGTTTGCTTTGCCCTTTTCTTTCTTCAGATGCTTCATAATCCTGTGTTGTCTTCGATATGAGTGAGATATTAAAAAGCTCTTGGAAGCTATGTGGATGGGGGTGAGGCTTGTCAGTTACAGGCTTTGCTCTAATGTGATTGATATGGTTTGGCTCTATGTCCCCACCCAAATCTCATCTTGAATTGTAATCCCCACGTGTTGAAGGAGGGACCTGGAGGGAGGTGATTGGATCATGGGGGCAGTTTTCCCCATGCTGTTCTCATGATAGTTAGTGGTTTCTCACGAGCTCTGATAGTTAAAAAGTGTTCAGCAGTTCCCCCACTTGTTCGCTTTCTCTCCTGCTGCCACATAAGATGTGCCTTGCTTCCCCTTCACCTTGCGCTGTGATTGTAAGTTTCCTGAGGCCTCCCCAGCCACAAGGAACTGTCAGTCAATTAGACCTCTTTTCTTTATAAATTACCCAGTCTCAGGTGGTTCTTTATAGCAGTGTGAAAATGGACTAATATAGAAAACTGGTACCAGGAGGGGGGCATTGCTACAAAGATACCTGAAAATGTGGAAACAACTTTGGAACTGGTTAATAGGCAGAGGTTGGAACAGTTTGGAGGGGTCAGAAGAAGACAGGAAGATGTCAGACAGTTTGGAACTTCTTAGAGAGTTGAATGGTTTTGACCAAAATGCTGATAGAGATATGGACAATGAAGTCCAGGCTGAGGTGGTCTCAGATGGAGATGAGGAACTTATTGGGAACTGGAGCAAAGGTCACTCTACTGTGCTTTAGCAGAGAGACTGGTGGCATTTTGTCCCTGTCCTAGAGATCTGCAGAACTTTGAACTTGAGAGGGGTGATTTAGGGTGTCTGACAGAAGAAACTTCTAAGCAACAAAGCATTCAAGATGGCTTTTTCTGAAAGCATATGGTCATATGCATTCACAGAGAGATGATGTGAAAGTGGGACTTATGTTTAAAAGGGAAGCAGAGCATAAAAGTTTGGACAATTTGCAGCCTGACCATGCAGTAGAAAAGAAAAACCCATTTTCTGGGGAGAAATTCAAGCCACAAGCTGCAGAAATTTGCATAAGTAATGAGAAGCCAAATGTTAATAGCCAAGACAATGGGGAGAATGTCTTGAGGGCATTTCAGAGATCTTTACAGTAGCCCCTCCCAGCATAGGCCCAGAGGCCTAAGAGGGAAAAATGGTTTCCTGGGCCCTGCTGTTCTGTGCAGCCTCGGGACATGGTGCCCTGTGTCCCAGGCACTCCAGCTCCAGCCATGGCTAAAAGGGGCCAAGGCACAGCTCTGGCCATTGCTTCAGAGGGTGCAAGCCCCAAGCATTGGAGGCTTCCCCATGGTGTTGGGCATGCAGGTGTGCAGAAAACAAGAGTTGAGGTTTGAAAACCTCGTCCGGCCGGGTGCGGTGGCTCACGCCTGTAATCCCAGCACTTTGGGAGGCCAAGGCGGGTGGATCACAAGGTCAGGAGATCGAGACCATCCTGGCTAACATGGTGAAACCCTGTCTGTATTAAAAATACAAAAAAAATTAGCCGGGTGTGGTGGCGTGCACCTGTGTCCCAGCTGCTGGGGAGGCTGAGGCAGGAGAATAGCGTGAACCCAGGAGGCAGAGCTTGCAGTGAGCCAAGATAGCACCACTGCACTCCAGTCTGGGTGACAGAGCAAGACTCCATTTCAAAAAAAAAAAAAAAAAAAAAGAGACAACCTCCTCCTACATTTCAGAGGCTATATGGAAACACCTGGATGTCCAGGCAGAAGTCTGCTGCAGGGGTGAAGCCCTCATGGAGATCCTCTACTAGGGCAATGCAGATGGGAAATATGGGGTTAGAGCCCCCACACAGAGTTCCCAATGGGGAGCCTAGTGGAACTGTGAGAAGAGGGCCACTGCCCTTCAGACCCCAGAATGGTAGATCCACCGACAGTTTGCACCATGTGCCTGGAAAAGCCACAGGCATTCAATGCCAGCCTGTAAAAGCAACCATGGGGCTGTACTCTGCAGAGCCACAGGGGCAGGGCTACCAAAGGCCTTGGGAGCCCACTTCTTACATCAGCATGCCCTGGATGTGAGACATGGAGTCAAAGATTATTT
This sequence comes from Homo sapiens, assembly GCF_000001405.40. Taxonomy (NCBI): domain Eukaryota; kingdom Metazoa; phylum Chordata; class Mammalia; order Primates; family Hominidae; genus Homo; species Homo sapiens. The sequence goes on from NC_000001.11 coordinate 53,206,596, forward strand.
TGGAGCTTTAAGATTTAATGGCTGCCCTGCTGGATTTCAGGCTTGCGTGGGGCCTGTAGCCCCTCTGTTTTGGCCAATTTCTCCCTTTTGGAATGGGAGCATTTACCCAATGCTTGTAACACCAGTGTATCTTGAAAATAACTAATTGGTTTTTGATTTTACAGACTCATAGGCAGAAGGAACTTGCCTTTACTCAGATGAGACTTTGGCTTGTAATTTTGAGTTAATGCTGGAATGAGTTAAGACTCTGGGGCACTGTTGGGAAGACATGGTTGTGTTTTGAAATGTTAGAAGTACATGAAATTTGGGAGAGGCCAGGGCAGAATGATGTGGTTTGGCTCTGTGTCTCCAACCAAATCTGATCTTGAATTGTAATAATCCCCAAGTGTCAAGGGAGGGACCTAGTGGGAGGTGATTGGATCATGGGGTAGTTTCCCCCATGCTTTTCTTGTGATAGTGAGTTCTCATGAGATCTGATGGTTTAAAAGTGTTTGGCAGTTCCTACTCCTTGCTTGTTCTCTCTCCTGCTGCTGTGTAAGATGTGCCTTGCTTCCCCTTTGCCTTCCACCATGATTGTAAGTTTCCTAAGGCCTTCCCAGCCATGCGGAACTAAGTCAGTTAAGCTTCTCTTCTTTATAAATTATCCAGTCTCAGGTAGTTCTTTATAGCAGTGTGAAAACAGACTAATACAGTGATCCAGCTAAACTGCTTCCCTGGGTTGCCCCTAATGGTAGTGTAGTTGGGTTAGCTTCCCTAGGGAGGCTTTTCCAGTAAACTGCCAAAAGGTTGCTAGTGTTGTAGAAGGCAGGGTAAGTAAGGGAAGAAGGTTTGAGATCTCAACTGTGATTCAGGTCTCCCAGTTTTATTTTATTTATTTATTTTTTGAGACAGAGTCTCATTTTGTCACCCAGGCTGGAGTGCAGTGGTGCGATCTCAGCTCACTGCAACCTCAGCCTCCTGGGTTCAAGTGATTCTCCTGCCTCAGCCTTCTGAGTAGCTGGGACTACAGGCACGTGCCACGACACCTGGCTAATTTTTTGTATTTTTAGCGGAGACGGTGTTTCACCATGTTAGCCAGGATGGTCTTGATCTCCTGACCTCATGATACACCCACCTCGCCCTCCCAAATTGCTGGGATTACCAGCATAAGCCACTGCACCCAGCCCCCAGTTTTATTATCTCCAGAGAGTAAAACTTAAGTCTTCTACAGGAGTGAGGAGGGAATCTCAGGTTGTGGTAGTGGTGATATAATTGAATAGTCCTTCAACCAGATGTATCTAGGTTGCCAATTACTGAGCCCTCTGGGGGTTCTGCTGTGCAAATCATATGATTTCTTGGCTTTCTCTCCTGCCAATTTAGGATTGGCTTTCTTGAGTCTGCTTTAGTCATTACCAGTTGCATAAGTGCTTTCCAGCTTCCAGTATTTGTTTTCTCGTCTCCCATTCTCTTGGCCTGACTGGTTTATGTCTCTTTGAAATTCTTTTGCTAAAGGGGGGTCAGAGGCATGAATTTATGTCTTCTTTCATCAAATATATCTTATCCACCAGTACTTTTCTCTCACCATTTTAGTGCATTGCGTTATGTTTTAATTATTTGCCTCCTTCACCAGAGTTTTTCAGAATCAAAGACCATGTCCTATTCCTCTCTAAATCCCCTGGACCAAGGCCTGGCACAGCACTGATTCTCAAGGGATGGAATGAGTGGATGGACCAACAAATGAGTAACAGAGAAATCTGCATCTATTAATCCTTTTCCCAGTGCTATACATATGAACATTATTTGCCTGAATGATAGTCCTTATTTATAGAGTTTATTCATGTTTACTAATCCCAGCAGGAACTTTCCCTGACATATTTTCTGATAAAATATTGCTTCTGGAATTTTTACAGGTAAAACATCTATAGGAACTCAGAGGGCTAGTCTGAGTGATCCATGCACTGATATTTATAATAGCTTTTTTAGTACTTTCTAAACAGGGAGTGTACAAATGTACACTGTACATAGAAGGACAATGAAGACGTTCCCCCCTTATCGGGGAGCAATCAAGTATGATTGTTGCCCCTGAAAGGAGATGAAGCAAGAGAAACCTAAAGAGATGGGGTGGGAATTAACTATTCTGTTCCAGCATGAATGCAAGTGGAGTGTTACCATATTTTATTCCTTTAAACCAAGAAAGGAAACAGAAGAGGAAGAAAAAGCAATTAATAAACATTAGGAAAATGCAAACCAAATCTGCAATGCTATACTACTTTACACCTACCAGAATATCTCCACGCCACAAGACATGTAACAAGTGCTGCTGAGGATGTGGAAAAATTGGAACCCTCACAGACAGCTCGTGGGAATGGTGCAGCCACTTTGGAAAACATCCTGGCAGTTCCTCAAAGGTTAAACAGAGACTTACCATGTGATAGTAGTTCCACTCCTAGCTATGTCCATACAAAAACATGTATAAGAATGTTCATAACAACATAATTCTTAATAGCTAGGTGCAGTGGCTCACACCTGTAATCCCAGCACTTTAAGAGGCTGAGGTGAGAGGATTACTTGAGGCCAGGAGCTTGAAACCAGCCTGAGCAACATAATAAGACCCCATCTCTACCAAAAATAAAAAAATTAGCCAGGCTGGTGGTGTGCATCTGTAGTCCTAGCTACTTGGGAGGCTGAGGTGGGAGGATCGCTTGAGCCCAGGGTTCAAGGCTGCAGTGAGCCATGATCATACCACTGCAATCCAGCCTGGATGATAGAAATCCTGTGTCTCTTAAAAAAAAAAAAGGCAATGTAATTCATAATAAAGAGTGGAAACAGTTCAAATGTCCATTACCTGATGAGTGGATAAACAAAATATAGTATATCCATATAATGGAACATTGTTCAGCGCTAAGAAGAAATGAAGAACTTAAATGCTACAACATGGATGAACCTTAAAAACATTATTAGGAGGCCGAGGCGGGTGGATCACCTGAGGTCAGGAGTTTGAGACCAGCCTGCCCAACATGGTGAAACCCTGTCTCTACTAAAAATCCAAAAATTATCTGGGCATGGTGGAGGACGCCTGTAATCCCAGCTACTCAGGAGGCTGAGGCAGGAGAATCGCTTCAATCCGGGAGGCGGAGGTTGCAGTGAGCCGAGATTGCAGCACTGTTCTCCAGCCTGGGCGACAGGAGCGAGCCTCCGTCCCAAAAAAACAAAACAAAAACATTATTGTAAGTGATAGAAGCTAAATGCAAAACACCATATATTGTATGACCCCATTTGTATGTCTTGAATTATTGCAGAGCAAAAACATTCAGGGAATTCTTCTCTCTGGAGGTTGATGCCATTTCCTTTGTCTATGCTTGAATTTTTTTTCTTCTTCAAATTTTATTTTTAGGGACAGCATTAACATTTTATGTTATTTTTTTCTTTTTATTTTTTAGGACCCTGGTTTGATATGTACCTATCTGCTCGAGACTCCGTTGTTCTGAACTTTAATCCATTTATGGCTTTCAATCCTGACCCAAAATCTGAGTATAATGACCAGCTCACCCGGGCAACCAACATGACTGTTTCTGCCATCCGGTTTCTGAAGACACTCCGGGCTGGCCTTCTGGAGCCAGAAGTGTTCCACTTGAACCCTGCAAAAAGTGACACTATCACCTTCAAGAGACTCATACGCTTTGTGCCTTCCTCTCTGTCCTGGTATGGGGCCTACCTGGTCAATGCGTATCCCCTGGATATGTCCCAGTATTTTCGGCTTTTCAACTCAACTCGTTTACCCAAACCCAGTCGGGATGAACTCTTCACTGATGACAAGGCCAGACACCTCCTGGTCCTAAGGAAAGGAAATTTTTATATCTTTGATGTCCTGGATCAAGATGGGAACATTGTGAGCCCCTCGGAAATCCAGGCACATCTGAAGTACATTCTCTCAGACAGCAGCCCCGCCCCCGAGTTTCCCCTGGCATACCTGACCAGTGAGAACCGAGACATCTGGGCAGAGCTCAGGCAGAAGCTGATGAGTAGTGGCAATGAGGAGAGCCTGAGGAAAGTGGACTCGGCAGTGTTCTGTCTCTGCCTAGATGACTTCCCCATTAAGGACCTTGTCCACTTGTCCCACAATATGCTGCATGGGGATGGCACAAACCGCTGGTTTGATAAATCCTTTAACCTCATTATCGCCAAGGATGGCTCTACTGCCGTCCACTTTGAGCACTCTTGGGGTGATGGTGTGGCAGTGCTCAGATTTTTTAATGAAGTATTTAAAGACAGCACTCAGACCCCTGCCGTCACTCCACAGAGCCAGCCAGCTACCACTGACTCTACTGTCACGGTGCAGAAACTCAACTTCGAGCTGACTGATGCCTTAAAGACTGGCATCACAGCTGCTAAGGAAAAGTTTGATGCCACCATGAAAACCCTCACTATTGACTGCGTCCAGTTTCAGAGAGGAGGCAAAGAATTCCTGAAGAAGCAAAAGCTGAGCCCTGACGCAGTTGCCCAGCTGGCATTCCAGATGGCCTTCCTGCGGCAGTACGGGCAGACAGTGGCCACCTACGAGTCCTGTAGCACTGCCGCATTCAAGCACGGCCGCACTGAGACCATCCGCCCGGCCTCCGTCTATACAAAGAGGTGCTCTGAGGCCTTTGTCAGGGAGCCCTCCAGGCACAGTGCTGGTGAGCTTCAGCAGATGATGGTTGAGTGCTCCAAGTACCATGGCCAGCTGACCAAAGAAGCAGCAATGGGTGAGGCAGGGGTGGGGAGCATGCCCTTGGGTCTTGTCCTCAGTGCTTGGGTAAGCAAGCCTAAATCATTCTACTCCAAATCTGATTTCTACCCGTTCACTAGGTTTAATCCATCGCCAACTCCCCAAATTTTTCTTTTCTACCCTAGCAGTCTGAACAGCCACACTAGCCACTAGGGATCAGAATGTTCTTGCCTCCTAAGCAGGGGTGGGGAAATGCATGTGTCTTTGTCCTCATTTAAGGTCACTTTCAGCTGTGACGCATTAATTCTTTTTTCTTTCTTTTTTTTTTTTTTTTTTGGAGACAAGAGTTTCCCTCCGTCCAGGCTGGAGTGCAATGGCGTGATCTCGGCTCACTGCAACCTCCACCCCCAGGTTCAAGTGATTCTCCTGCCTCTGCCTCCCAAGTAGCTGGGATAATAGGCACCCGCCACTACACCTGGCTAGTTTTTGCATTTTTAGTAAAGAAGGGGTTTTGCCATTTTGGCCAGGCTGGTCTTGAACTCCTGACCTCAGGTGATCCATCCCTCTCAGCCTCCCAAAGTTCTAGGAATACAGGCGTGAGCCACCGCACCTGGCCTTTTTTTTTTTGGAGACACGGTCTCATTCTGTCACCCAGGCTGGAGTACAGTGGTGCAATCATGGCTCACTGCAACCTCAACTTCCTTGGCTCAAACAATCCTCCTGCCTCAGCCTCCCAAATAGCTGGGACTATAGGCATGCACCACCATGCCCAGCTGATATTTTAATTTTTTTTTTTTTTTGAGATGGACTCTTGCTCTGTTGCCCAGGCTGGAGTGCAGTGGCACAATCTCAGCTCACTGCAACCTCTGCCTCCTGGGTTCAAGCGATTCTCCTGCCTCAGCCTCCTGAGTAGTTGGGACTACAGGCTTATGCCACCATGCCCAGCTAATTTTTATATTTTCAATAGAGACGGGGTTTCACTATGTTGGCCAGGTTGGTCTCAAACTCCTGACCTCATGATCTACCCGCCTCACCCTCCCAAAGTGCTGGGATTATAGGCGTAAGCCACCATGCCGGGCCTAATTTTTAAAATTTTTTGTAGAGATGAGGTCCCACTGTATTGCCCAAGGTGGTCTCAAACTCCTGGGCTCAAGCAATCCTCCTGCCTTGGCCTCCCAAAGCACTAGGATTATAGGCATGCACCACTGCACCCAACCTTTTTCTATTACTGATTGGTTATCAGACTCACTTTTGAAAATTTAGGATTTCTAAACTTACGGCCCCACTAGCTTCACCTCAGTTGTAATGTGTCTGCTCTCTGTAAACAGGTTATCTCAGAAGCTCTTCTCAATTGTCATCCGTCATTACCTTTTTTTGATAAAATTCAAGACCTGGAAAGGACCTGGAGGGTCATAGTTGTCCTTTCATGTTGCTATGAAGTGCTGGAAGTGAAAGGGACCTCCAAGACATTCTAATCTTCTCTTCCTCCATTTTATAGGGAGAAAACCAAGCCACTGGCCCCGTTACACAGCAAGTTAGTAGTAAGACTGAGATTCGAACCCTGGTCAAACAGACTTTCCATTTTGTTCCACTGACTCAATCTTCTCTTTTACACTTGAATCAGACTTTTAGTTTTATTGTAGTTTTTGAGTCCATAGCTGTCTTCCTGTACTGTCTTGACTCTTTGACTAAACTGATTTCACATCTTTAAAATTATGCTTTCCTTTTAGGCTCATTTTTAGCTCAGCTGTTGACAGCTATTTTTAAATGTAACATGACATAATATATTTCCTAAATAATTTAAAATAATCTAGCTTGAGCTGCTCTGAAGGTTAGTCAGTTGGTGGTGTGCATAGAGGTAGAGCCTTCCCCCACTCTCAAGGATGCTGTGAGGGGTATTCCTACCATGTGGTGAGTTGGGAGGTTTTCCTGAGGTCCTTTTCCATCCTGAGACTCTGGTTTTCCATTTTGTTTCTCACAGGCCAGGGCTTTGACCGACACTTGTTTGCTCTGCGGCATCTGGCAGCAGCCAAAGGGATCATCTTGCCTGAGCTCTACCTGGACCCTGCATACGGGCAGATAAACCACAATGTCCTGTCCACGAGCACACTGAGCAGCCCAGCAGTGAACCTTGGGGGCTTTGCCCCTGTGGTCTCTGATGGCTTTGGTGTTGGGTATGCTGTTCATGACAACTGGATAGGCTGCAATGTCTCTTCCTACCCAGGCCGCAATGCCCGGGAGTTTCTCCAATGTGTGGAGAAGGCCTTAGAAGACATGTTTGATGCCTTAGAAGGCAAATCCATCAAAAGTTAACTTCTGGGCAGATGAAAAGCTACCATCACTTCCTCATCATGAAAACTGGGAGGCCGGGCATGGTGGCTCATGCCTGTAATCCCAGCATTTTGAGAGGCTGAGGCGGGTGGATCACTTGAGGTCAGGAGTTTGAGACCAACCTGGCCAACATGGTGAAACCTTGTCTCTACTAAAAATACAAAAATTAGCTGGGTGTGGTGGCATGTGCCTATAATCCCAGCTACTTGGGAGGTTGAAGCAGAATTGCTTGAACCCAGGAGGTGGAGGTTGCAGTGAGCTGAGATCACACCACTGCACTCCGGCCTGGGCGACAGAGCGAGACTGTCTCAAAAAAACAAAAAAGAAAAAAAAACTGGGGCCTGTGTAGCCAGTGGGTGCTATTCTGTGAAACTAATCATAAGCTGCCTAGGCAGCCAGCTACAGGCTTGAGCTTTAAATTCATGGTTTTAAAGCTAAACGTAATTTCCACTTGGGACTAGATCACAACTGAAGATAACAAGAGATTTAAGTTTTAAGGGCATTTAATCAGGAGGAAAGGTTTGGAAAACTAACTCAGGTGTATTTATTGTTTAAGCAGAAATAAAGTTTAATTTTTGCTTGAAGATGGTTCTTAATTTCTTTTAACCTAATTCCTAATCCTCACAAAGATCTTTCCAACAGCAAGTTCAGTAAGTTCAGGTAACAGTACGTCACCATTGGCTTCTGGCTCATTGAGTGATGGTGGGATCGCGGTTTCATCTCTGTAAACTTGCCCTTGACTGGGGAGATACCATCTCCTTAAAAATACTCTTCATTTTCCTAAGGAGTGAACTGCTGCTGCACGAATTCTTATTTGTGGAGGGAGTAGCTGCCTCCTTACTTCACCTTCATGCACCAGTGCAGCGTGAACAGGGGCTTTATTGATGGGGCTTGGGAAGCTGTAATAAAGTCCAGCATGCAGATTGTGAAGGTTTCGTATAGCCACCAGGAGACAAGGGTCAAAGGAACGAGCCTCTGTGGGCTCTGCTGCTTAGAGTACTTTGTCCTTTCTCAGTTCTTAAGGGCAACTGGGAAGGAAGAGGGATCAGCACTTCACAAACTGGTGGGTGACCTCATAGATTCCCACAGACTCCTGGGCCTTTTCATCATAGTCAGTCCAGTCCTGGGAAACAAAATGGCATTGTTAGCCTCACAACGCAGAATGCAGCCATGTGGAGAGCAGAAAACTGGGACTTAAAAGGCCCAGCTCAGGCTCTGACTCAAATAATCATGAACATGTATGACCCTGAACAGAGCCAGATAGCTCAGGCCTGAATTCTAGCTCTTTCAGTTGTATGACTGTGGGCAAATCACTTAACTTCTCTGAGTCCCTTCTCCGAGTCCTGTCTTCTATTTAAAAAAAACAAAAACAAAAAAAGGACAATGGAGTTCATATTGAATGTTGAAAGAATCAAATGAGGTAACACATTTAAAAGCACTCAGCAGCCGGGCGTGGTGGCTCATGCCTGTAATCCCAGCACTTTGGGAGGCCAAGGCAGGTGGATCATTTCAGGTCAGGGGTCCGAGACCATCCTGGCCAACAAGGTGAAACCCGGTCTCTACTAAAAATACAAAAAATAGCCAGGAATGGTGGCAGGCGCCTGTAATCCCAGCTACTTGGGAGGCTGAGGTAGGAGGATCACTTGAGCCCAGGAGGCAGAGGTTGCAGTGAGCTGACATTGCACCACTGCACTCCAGCCTGGGCGACAGAGTGAGATTGTCTCAAAAAATACATAAAATAAAATAAAAGCACTCAGCATAGTGAGTGCCTGGCACATGTAAGAGCTCAGTAGATGCTAGCTGCTGTTATTAGGTGCTGAGCAAATGAAATGAAGTTTTTGTCCTTCCTTCAAGGCTTGAGCACAAGGCTTTTCTATCTGCAGGGTAGTAATATGTCCAGTAATACAGACTATTTCTTGTTCTTCATGGTAGTTAGGTGCAGTAAAGCCACCACAAACACTGAATTAGGGAATACTGAATGAATACTCCCCGGGGAAATACAGGGTTAGGTTCCTATGAGCCTCTGGTCACATTTTCATCAACCAATCAATAATCTAGCTTTATGTGTTTCTGTTTAAAGATAACTTATTTAATATATATTGTTGATTCATGAACTCACAGCCAGCAGCACTATAGCTCATGCCTGAATAAAGCTTATCTAACACGTATTCTCTCTGTAAGGGGCATCATAGCTTTCTCATACGTAGGAACATTAGAAAGCACTTTAGCACTATACCTGTGGCCATTTCAACAGCAAAATCACTAACAAAAAGCACAAAAATACAGAGTTGGCTTTCCATTGATGAGCCTTGTCCACCAAAAAAATAATTCCCACCAGGTGCCCTACAGTACCTCCCAAAGCCCCCAAGTCTCATACCTTCTCCTGCAGATTAATGTCACTGAAGGCTGTCCCTGACTCCACACCTTCAGCAGCAAACCCAGCCTGCAGGGCACAAGAAGGTACCAGTTAGTCTTGGCAAAAGAAGGCATTGGGCTATAAGTAAGGGCCGGCCAGGCTGCTGGCTCTTCTCACACTTCTGGGATGGAGGACAGAGATGCAGTATGAGTACCTGTCTTGGAATAACTGCTGAGCTTCCAGGACCCGGCAGCTGCCTCAGAACTAGAGTGGTGGTTTCTCTGAATTACAGCCTTGGACCAGAAGGCAGCAGGGGCAGCGTAATCCCTTCCACTAGCCCTGGTTTGCTGAAGGCTCCTGGGCATGTCATTTCCCAGGTTGGACCTTAGTTATTGATAAAACGGGGATGAAGTATTTGCTCTTCTGCCTACCTCACAGATTTGTTGTGAGGTGAAACATGCACAAATAAAGGGGGATGAGCACCAGCTCAAGTCAGATAGATCTGGGTTGAAACTATAGCTCCACTGCTTACTGTGTGACCCTGAGCAAGTTGCAAAATCTCTTCAGTTCCTTCCTCATCTGAAGAACAGGATGAATAAATTCATAGGGTTACCATAAGAATTAAATGTGGTAACATGTAAAAATGATGGCATGGGTGCCCAAGCATACAGCAGCCACTTAAGGGACAATTATTACTACCGCTAGAAAGGAGAATGTCTAGTCCATGGTATCTGTAGGTAGCACAGTTCTGGCTGTCACTTCATACATCCCCTCCCCAAAGACAAAGATTCCCCAGAAAGATACACACACACCTGCGGCTGGAAATCAACTGGTTCAAGGCCCCGGCACTCAAACTCCACTATTGTCTTGAAGTTCTCATTGTCTTCAGCCTAGAAAGGAAGTGTGTTGAGGAGGCAGGCCCAAATGAGCTCTCAGGATGACCCCATGGCCCCTCTCCTTCCTGCCAAATGGGCACTTACTGCCCCTGGAGGCCTAGTATGAGACCCAGGAAGAACTCATCCCCTTCTTAGAGGAAGCCTGCCTTGGGCACCTGCTCCCTATGAAGCTTTCTGTAGACAGCAGACATGGAGGCTGCAGAAGAGCGTGGATGCTGGGGTCAACCTGCCTGGATGTAAGGTAAGCTCTGCCTATCTTCCCCTCTGGGCCCAAGATTCCTAAACTGTCAAATAGAGCCGAGGAAACCTCTACAATTTTACTGTCAGATTTTGAAATGCATATAAAGTGCCCAGCACAGTGCTCAATAAATAGTAAATAAAATTATCAACACCAAAAATATGAACAAGAATGTTAAGCTCCAAAGTCTCTAGATCATCCAAACAGACCCAGTACACTTAACCATAGCCTTTTGCTGACCATCTGCCATGCAGTAAGGGCAGAGGGCTGTCTTATAGCCTTTGAAATGGTTATGTATGTGGAGGGGGCACCTCTTGGGGGGCAGGTGGCCAGGAAATTCATGCCTACCTGACCTATGGGCTTAGGGACCACAAGTGCCATGCCCTACATTCAGTCTCATCCTGTCATTCACTGTAAAGTAATTTCCTGCACACTGACCACATCTCTGGCACTGGTAAGGCACTTCTCTGTTAGGGCCCTAGTTCGATTCTTGTTTTTTGTATTTTCCACTAGATTATTATGTACGTGAAGGCGAGTCCTCATTTAATTTCTCTTTAACTTCAGGACAAAGCCAAGAATTTGGCACAACTCAAGATACTTTAAATAAATACCAAATAAGGAATAGGTGAATACATATAACTGGCTTTCTTTAAACAAACAGATCCAAAGCACACCCTCCCTCACCTTTGGGCTAACTTGTTAACACTGATGATATAAAGGATGGGATGCACCAAACGACTACCCCACCCATGGTTTCAGAGAAAGCTTGCTAGTCCCCTAAAATGAAGACAAGGCAAGTGCTCTCAGTGATGCAAACTGAACAGCTAGGTTGTGTCAGAGGTCCCCTGAGCTCTCACAGCCCAGCCCTCATAAGAAGGCACTGCAAGAGGCAATATACCAAGCACTCAGTGTACAGTGGATAAATGACTGAGTCAAAGAAGAACTAAGTTCATGAGTGAATGTCCTATGGCAGGTCACTCTGATGCAGGCATGACTCTAGAACCCAGACCTACTAACTCCAGTTAGGATTTAAGCCCACCATCCCTGCCACTACAGCAGCAAACTTACATTGTAAGGCTTGATGGTGCTGCTTAAAATCTCTGAAATAGAAAAGAGAACACAAAGTTGACTTGAGTCCATACCCTCGCCCCAGCCAGGTGCCCACATGTGGCCCTGAAAAAGATCACGCTGTACAGGTGTCGGCATCTTAGGCCTGACTCCACCCTCAGGTAACATGAGTCTACTTTCAGCCTGGTGCCAGGAAGCTGTGGGCCACCCTGGCAGAACTCAGTACGCACAGCCTGACCTACCGATGGAATTTTCTCTTGCACACAGCTTGCACTTCTGGACCATGGAAGCACTGCCACGGCCCCCCTTCAGTGCCACACTGTCCTGGCAAAAAGCAAACAGAACTTTCAGTCACATATGAATTAGATGTACAGTCCTGAGGAGATCGAGCCCACCATTTATTGTCCACTTAAAGAGACCAAGACCCAGAAAGGGTAACTTACTAGGACAAGACTCCTGGGAAGGCTTCCTGAGGAAAATAAAAAAAGGGCTTCCCCTTGATTTTGAACTCTGCCTCATACCTCAAAGATGCCTATTGAATCCAGTGCTGATCACACTGACACCTACCCTCCCAAACCACAAAAAGCAGGGAGCAAAGAACTGGAGAGATGAAGGCCAGTTTCCCCAAATCCCTGCCCAGAAGTGTATGTGTGTTTGTGAGTGTTTATGTTGGGGGTTGGGCGGGGAACAGTTACCATCAGCCGGATGTACTGCCACTTGTCCGAAATCTCACCACAGTTGCCACATTTCATCTTTGGGGAAAAAGAATGTTAGTAAAGCAGCTGGCTCTGCTGCACAGACACCAAGGAAAGGGTAAGAACAGTGGGAGGTGGGCAGGCTCATGATCTACCTTCTTGATGGCAATCTCACTTCATCCCTAACACCTGCCCCAACAAGGACAAAACTAGAACTATCTCTGGGCAAAGGATAGGTAAGGCTGTTTCCTATGCCGGCGTGCCCACCCTCCTCTATGAAGTGCTCAGTGTGGCCGGGGATTCAAGGCACCTGTGGTGCAGAAATGGTTTCAGCGGAGGTGAGGGGGGGGAATATGGAGAGATTTGTTAGAAGATACAAAATTACAGCTATATGGGAGGAATAAGTTCTAGTGTTCTATAGCACTGTAGGATGACTATAGCTGACAATAATATATAGTTTCAAATAGCTAGGATATTAAATGCTCCCAACACAAAGAAATGATACACGTTTGAGGTGAATATGCTAACTACCTTGATCTGATCACAATACATTACATTTATCGGAACATCACTATATACCCCATAAATATGTACAATTCTGTGTCAATTAAGAAAAAAAAAGAGAAATGGCCTCAGCAGGCCCCCGACCCACTCTGCTTGGTTAGCTTTATGTTCCCACAGGCCCTGTATGTCACTGGTATAAGCACTTATCACTCTATTGTTACTCTATTTTTCTGTCTCCTTCACTCGATTCCGCTTCTTCAAGCCAAAGAACAGATTCTCCCAAGTAAGCCCTGGTATTCAGGCTTCAAAATCCTGGGAAACAAAAGTAGTCCGGAGGCAGCTTCCCGAAAAACAGGGCTTTTGAGAGGTACAGAAGGATGCTGGGATTTTTGACCAGGAGTAAAACAGAGCAGAAGCTCTGGGATCTGGAAGAGTGAAGAGCCTCGAACTGCTGGGGAAGGGGAGGCCTCTGTAGACCATGCCACTAGGGTACCAGCTTTACCAGTGTGGGAGGGCTAAGGAAGGGTGGATTACGCACAAAATTAAACTATTTCACAATAAAGAAAACCAAATCAATAAACGAAAGGCGAACTATTCACCTTATTAAATAATCACAAGCGTCCCTTCAAGTAGCATTTCGTTTAGTGTCCATTTACAGACCACGAAATATTTAACACAGGGAAGAACTACAAAATGAAGCTTTCCAAGACTGCCAATTAGAGATAAACCAATACACTTTAATAGAAAGCAAACGTAAAATTCTAACTAGGAAAACCCCGAACACTTAATGTGCCTGGTTAAATATTTTCTCATACTGCCGGAGAGAAGGCTCCGGTTCAGCACTGAGATCAGGACGGGCCTCCTCTCCCCGGGCCCCGCCCCGGCCGCACCTTCAGGTACCACCGGAAGTCCTCGCCCACGGGCCGGAGGTTGGTGATGTTCTCCAGCGTGGCTTTGAGTTGCAGCGCGATTTTCTGAGGGGGAGGGCCAGAGCGACTGCGTCAGCCGTGCCTGCGCAGCCCCACGCCTGCCCGACCCTCCCGCATTCCCAGCCGTGGGTGCCACAGGGAGACACTCCTTCTGCCTCCTGCTCCTTCAGCGCGCACCCACTCGCTTCATCTCCTCCTGGCGCGAGCTGTTGCCTCCCAGACCCTCGCCACCTCCCCTCCGTGTCCCCGCGGCGGGCGGCCTCCCCTCACCCCCATGGTAGCCCTCTCCGCCCGGTGCTGGCTGCGGCCCTTGCCGTTGCTTTCCGGCGCGTCGTAAAAGGCGGGTGCCGTCTGCGCACCCTCAGTAGGGCGGGGCCGGGGCCGGGCCGCGGGGCAGGGACTTCTGCGCGCCGCTGCTCGCCTGGCCCACTGGGCTTTTCGCATCTGGGGATCTGGGGCCAGTGGAGGTCAGCCAGGTCCGCGAGCAACCTGTGCTCAGGCCAGCGGAAGCCTGACTCCAGGATTCGGTGGTGCCACAGACAGTTACTGAACGCCAATTTTGTGCCTGCTTTAAGCGAACAGGACAGTTCCTGACCCTCAGTTCTTTCCAGGCTCTTCACTACTCTGCCTGCCCTGGAACTTCTCAGATCACGTCAGCTCCCTCTGCCCAGGGGAAAAGCTACAAAAGGAAGAGTTCCAAGACTGCCAAATAAAGATAAACCAATACGCTTTAAAAAGTAGAATGTATTGGTTTATCAGATTTGGGGATGATGCCTTTCTTCAAACTGCCCTTTCCTGTTTCACCCAAGAGACCTGGTTTCTAGGCCCTTCTCCAGAGTTTGCCCTGTGTCCACATCCTTCTCACTGTGGTCCTTGCGACTGGACATTCCCCTTCAGCTGGCTCTTTTTTGGGAGCCCACCTGGCTTATCCTTCTCTCATAACGTTTATTGAACTTTATTTTACCTGGCCTCCTGTCCAGGCTACATCTGAGACCATGCAGGAGCTGTGGAGATTAACGGTAAAAGGAACAGCACATTCAAGACTCTTCTAGGAGGTGGGGCAAGATAGCCAAATAGAACCCTCCAGTGATCCTCCTCCTCCTCTTCCCTGGCAGGAACACCAAACTGAACAACTATCCACACAAGAAAGCACCTTCATGAGAACCAAAACTCAGGTAGCAATCACAGTAGCTGGTTGTAACGTCACATCAAGATATAAGGCAATGGCTGGGTGCGGTGGCTCACACCTGTAATCCCAGTGCTTTGGGAGGCTGAGGCGGGCAGACCACCTGAGGTCAGGAGTTTGAGACCTAGCTGGCCAACATAGTGAAACCCTGTCTCTACTAAAAATACAAAAATCAGCCGAGTATGGCAGTGCACACCTGTAGTCCCAGCTACTCCGGAGGCTAAGGCAGGAGAATTGTTTGAACCCGGGAGGTGGAGGTTGTAGTGAGCTGAGATCATGCCATTGCACTCTAGCCTGGGTGACAGAGTGAGACTCTATCTCATAAAAGAAGAAAAAAAAAGGAACAAGGCAATGAAGAGGGTAGGAAAGACAGTCTTGAATTGCTACCACCACCCCTCCCTCATCCTCTGGCAGCACCTGGCTGCCTGGCATAGAGAGAGAATCTGTGTGCTTATGGGACTTTGCATTGGAACTGAGTTTTGCCCTGTCACAGTGGAAAGCAACTCAGGGCAGAATTCAGCTAGTGCCCACAGAGGAAGCACTTAGAGAAACCCTAGCCAGAGGGGAATCATCCATCCCAGTGGTCAGGTTCTGGCGAGCCCCACCACCACTGGCTAAAGTGCTTCAGGGTCCTAAATAAATTCGAAAGGCAGTCTAGGCCACAAAGACTGCAATTCCTGGGCAAGTCCTGGTGCTGTGCTGAGCTCAGAGCCCGTGGACTTGGGGTGCACACAGCCTAGTGAGATACCAGTTGGGGAGCCAAAGGAGTGTTTATGTCACCAGTCCCCCAACCCCAGGCAGCACAGCTCACGGCTCCAGGAGAGACTCCTTTCCCTTAGAGGAAAGGAGAGGGGAAAGTAAAGAGGACTTTGTCTTACAGCTTGGATACCATCCCAGCCACAGTAGAATAAAACACCACGCAGAGTCCCGAAGCCCCCTTGCCAGGCTCTATCTCCCAGATATTTCTAGAGCTACCATGGGCCAGAAGGGAACCCGCTGCTTTGAAGGAAAGGACCCAGTCCTGGCAGGATTCATCACCTGCTGACTAAAGAGCTGTTGGGCCTTGAATAAACATTTGTAATAGCCACAGTACTGGGTGAGGCCCAGTACTGTGCTGCCTTCAGGTGTGACCCAGTGCCTTCCCAGTAATGGTTGCCACAGGGAGAGACTCCTTCTGCTTAAGGAAAAGAGAGGAAAGAGTTAAAAAGGAGTTGGTCTTGCAACTTGGGTACCAGCTCAGCCACAGTAAAATAAAGCACCAAGTAGGTTTCTAAAGCCCGGACTCCATGCCCTAGCTCCTGGACAGCATTTCTAAACCCACCCTGGGCCAGAAGGGAACCTGCCACCCCAAAGGGTAAGACACAAGCCTGGCTGGATTCACCACCTGCTGACTAAAGAGCCTTTGGGCTTTGAATAAACATCAGCAATAACCAGGCAATAGTCACCATGGGCCTTGGGCAAGACCCACTACTGTGCTGGCTTCAGGTTTGACACAGCACAGTTCCAGCAGTGGTGGCCACAGGGGTGCTTGTGTCACTCCTCTCCCAACTCCAGGCAGCTCAGCATGGAGAGAGAGACTCCATTTATTTGGGAGAAAGTAAGGGAAGATAACAAGAGACTCTGCCTGGTAATCCAGGGAATTCTCTCGGATCTTACCCAAGACCATCAAGGCAGTACCTCTGAGTCTACAAGAGTCACAGCATCGCTGGGTTTGGGGTGCCCCCTAATGCAGTTACAGCTGCAGTGACCAAATATTTACATCACAACACTCATTTCCCTTTGAGTACTTGGAAAAGCCTTCTGAAGAAGGATGAGTACAAATAAGCCCAAACTGTGAAAATTATGATAAATACCTAATTATTCAATGCTCTGCATTGACCAACAGTCACAAACATCAATACCATCCAAGAAAACATGACCTAATCAAATGAACTAAATAAGGCACCAGTGACCAATCCCAGAGTGACAGAGATATGTGACCTTTCAGAGAATTCACTGTCACTGAGAAAGCTCAGTGAAATTCAAGATAGCACAGAGAAGGAACTCAGAATCCTGCCAGATAAACTTAACAAAGAGATGGAAAAAGGAACTCAGAATCCTGCCAGATAAATTTGACAAAGAGATGGAAATAATTTTAAAAATTAAATAGAAATTCTGGAGCTGATAAATTCAACTGATACACCAAAGAATGCACCAGGGTCTCTAAACATGAGAACTGATCAAGCAGAAGAAAGAATTAGTGAGCTTGAAGGCAGGCTGTTTGAAAATACACAGAAGAATTGAAAGAAAAAATAACAAAAAAGGATGAAGTATGCCTACAATATCTAGACAATGGCCACAAATGGGCAAATCTAAGAGTTATTGGCCTTAAAGAGAAGGTAGAGAGAAATTAGGATAGAAAGTTTATTCAAAGGAAGAATAACGGAACTTTCCAAACCTAGAGAAATATATAAATATTCAAGTACAAGAAAGTTATAGAATACCAAGCAGATTTAACCCAAATAAGACTACCTCATGTCATTTAATAATCAGACTCCCAAAGATCAAAGATAAAGAAAGGATCCTAAAAGCAGCAAGAAAAAAGAAACAAATAACACACAAAGAAGCTCCAATGGGTCTGGCAGCAGGCTTCTCTGTGGAAAGCTTACAGGCCAGGAGAGTGGCATGACATTTAAAGTACTGAAGAAAAAAAACATTTATCCTAGAATAGTATATCCAGCAAAAATGTCCTTTAAACATGAAGGAAAAATAAAGATTTCCTAGACAAACAAAAGCTGAGGGATTTTGTCAACACACCAGACCTTTCCTTCAAGAAATGCTAAAGAGTGTTTTTCAGTCTGAAAGAAAAGGATGTTAAGCAATGAGAAATCGTCTGACGGCACAAAACTCATTGGGAATGGTAACTACACAGACAAATGCAAAAGATTTTAACACTAATTGTGTGTAAACTACTCATATATTGAGTAGCAAGACTAAAAGATGAACCTATCAAAAATAATAACTTTTCAAAACATAGACAGTATAAGATATAAATAGGGGCCAGGCACGGTGGCTTATGCCCATAATCCCAGCACTTTGGGAGGCCGAGGCAGGTGGATCGCTTGAGCTCAGGAGTTCAGGGGCAACATGGTGAAACCACATCTCTACTAAAAATACAAAAAATTAGCCAGGCATGGTGGCATATGCCTATGGTCCCAGCTTTTCGGGAGCCTGAGATGGGAGGATCGCTTGAGCCTGGGAGGCGGAGGTTGCAATCAGCCAAGATCACACCACTAAACTCCAGCCTGGGTGACAGGGCAAGACCCTGTCTCAAAAAAAAAAAAAAAAAAAAATATATATATATATATAGATAGATAGACAGACAGACAGACAGACAGACAGACAGATAGGCTGGGCACAGTGGCTCACACCTGTAATTCTAGCACTTTGGGAGGCTGAGGTAGGACGACGGCTTCAGCACAGGAGTTTGAGACCAGCCAAACCCTGTTTTTTTCTTTTGTTTTTTTTTTTTTTTTTTGAGATGGAGTTTCATTCTTGTTGCCCAGGCTGGAGTGCAATGGCATGATCTCGGCTCACCGCAACCTCTGCCTCCCAGATTCAAGTGATTCTCCTGTCTCAGCCTCTCGAGTAGCTGAGATTACAGGCATGCACCACCATGCCAGGCTAATTTTGTATTTTTAGTAGAGATGGGGTTTCTCCATGTTGGTCAGGCTGGTCTCAAACTCCTGACCTCAGGTGATCCGCCTGCCTCGGCCTCCCAAAGTGCTGGGATTACAGGCGTGAGCCACCATGCCCGGTCTCTTTTTATTTTTTATTTTTTGAGATGGAGTTTTGCTTTTGTCGCCCAGGCTTGAGTGCAGTGGCGAAATCTCGGCTCACGGCAACCTCCAACTCCTGGGTTCGAGCGATTCTCCTGCCTCCGCCTCTCGAGTAGTTGGGATTACAGGCGTGCGCCACCACAGTCGACTAATTTTTTATTTTTAGTACAGATGAGGTTTCACCAGGTTGGCCAGGATGGTCTCGAACTCCTGACCTCAGGTGATCCACCCACCTCAGACTCCCAAAGTACTGGGATTACAGGGTGAGCCATTGCACCCGGCCAAGAATACTTTACTAAAGTTTTTTTTGCCTCAGAAAACAAAAGACTCTTTTATCACCTGAGGTCCCGTCACTTCTTTAAAGTTTAGAGTGACTTTTTTTGATGTCTACTTTACTACCAACTTGCTTCATTGCCCCAAGTACTCTTATAGGGGGAGGTGCACTGGAGTCAGGAACCCTGACATCTCAGTGCTGTTCTTAACTTGCCCCATAGTCTTTGAAGGAGTAGAGTGTGGTGGAAAAAGAATGGGTCCAGGAGTCAGGACACTTGGGACCTTGTCCCAAGCTGGCCTGTTTTTAGTAGGGTGAGTTTAGGCTAATCACTTCCCTTCAAATGAGGCTTAGTAAGGCCTGGTTCCTTTCAGCAGGTGCAATCTGTTCAACCAGTACTGTGCTTAAAGAAGCCATGCAATTTAGCAGAAAGAAAAAGTTGTCTACAGGTCTACCTGCTGAACAAATTCCCACACTATACAACTTGGTCTTGGTCCTGAATGGCTGTTGGTATTCTGATTTTAAAATGGATTAATGGAAAACTTTTCTGAGACCAAACATTTTATCCTGTTATCATGTAAGAAACCAAAGTATTTTCCCCTACACTGAAATACCTACTAAAACCTAAAATATTTGTATCTATAAAAGGTGATTTTAAAAACTCCAACCACCATACTATTTCATACCTAAACCATCAAACCAGTGTTAAATTTCCTTAATGGTATTAATTTTACTTTTTTTTTTTTTTTGACATGGGGTCTCGCTGTTGCCCAGGCTGAAGTGCAGTGGTACAAACTCTGCTCGCTGCAGCCTCTGCTCCAGGGTCCAAGCGATTTTCCTGCCTCAGCTTCCTGAGTAGCTGGGATTACAGGCTTATGCCACCACGCCCAGCTAATTTTTGTATTTCTAGTAGACAGGTTTTCACCATGTTAGCCAGGCAGGTCTTGGTGACCCGCCTGCCTCGGTCTCCCAAAGTGTTGGGATTACAGGTGTGAGCCACCACATCTGGCCCAATTTTACATTTTTTTGAATCATTATCCAAATAGGGTCCAAACATTGTGTTATGTGTCTCTTAAGTCTCCTTTATAAGCTCCCATTCTATCTGTTTCCCTTGTAATTTATTGAAGAAACCAGGTCATTTGCCTTGGAATTTCCTCTCAATATGGCTGATTGAAGTCCCACTGTATTTTTAAAACATGTTTCTGTATTCTCTTATTTCCTATAAAATCATAGGTATATCTAGAGAGTTGATTAGATTTGATTTTTGGGCAATACTTCACATAGAATGTTAGTGTTCTACAAAGTAATTGAGAAGAGTTCACATGTTCAGGTCTTTATAAAATAATAAAAATTGGATTTTATCACATATTTATTAAAGACAATCATTTATAGTTCATAAAAAAATACTGCCCTGATATACACAAAATTTTCTACTCCCACCCACCCCCCATGTCCACACCAATATTCAGTCTAGATTGGTTTAATCTTGAAGTGTAATCCAATAAGACTGAAGACCAAACACTTCAGGTCCTGGACAAGATAATAAAATACTCGTAAGCCTTCTGGATCCCTAAAATACAAAAGGAAAAAAGTTTAGGCATTAAAACTTTGACCCATCAAGTGTCCCTAAAAAGGAAAAGACTATATATTAAAACGGTATATTATGAGGTAATTTAAATATGCTGAGTTTTTAATATAGGGAAATGCTTACATTAAGTGAAAAAATATAATTAAAATAACAATTATTAATCTCAACTGTATTTTTTATGCTTCTTAAAAAGTATATATTGTATTAATGCATAGAATAAATGCATTAAAGACTAAAAAGAAATACTGCAAGATAGTAATAATGGTTGTCTGATTGATAAACTTGTGGATGATTTTCCCCTTTCTACTTTTCTACATTTCCTGTATTTTCTACAATGAGCATGTATTACTTTCAGAGTTAGAAAACTTTTTTTGTTTTGTTTTGTTTTGTTTTTTGAGACAGAGTTTTGCTCTTGTTGCCCAGGCTGGAGTGCAATGGCATGATCTTGGCTCACTGTAACCTCCGCCTCCCAGGTTCAAGAGATTCTCCTGCCTCAGCCTCCCGAGTAGCTAGGATTACAGGCATGCACCACGCCTGGCTAATTTTTTGTATTTTTAGTAGAGATGGGGTTTCTCCATGTTGGTTAGGCTGGTCTTGAACTCCCGACCTCAGGTGATCCGCCTGCCTCGGCCTCCCAAAGTGCTGGGATTACAGGTGTGAGCCACCACACCCGGCCCGAGTTAGGAAAACTTTTTTAAAAAGTAGTAGTACTAAGCAGGACCAAGAGGTTGAAGATTACTGTGGCATCACTGGCTAAGAAGAGTGTCCAAAGGAAGACAATTACGCCCAACATTTGCCAAAAGTGAGCCGTACCTAATCCTGAACCCTCAAAACGTAAGAGCCAAAGAAGTTGCCAAATTCTAAGGATTCTTTGTAGCACATAGGTTCATGCCTCAACTTGATAATCTGCCCCACTGACAACATGAATTTTAAAATCTTGATCCCTTTTCACCAAACCAATGCTTTTGTAAAAAACAATAAATTTAAGGCTGGGCGCGGTGGCTCACGCCTGTAATTCCAGCACTTTGGGAGGCCGAGGCAGGCGGATCATGAGGTCAGGAGTTCAAGACCAGCCTGGCCAACATGGTGAAACCCTGTCTCTACTAAAAATACAAAAAAATTAGCCGGGTGTGGTGGCAGGTGCCTGTAGTCCCAGCTACTCAGGAGGCTGAGGCAGGAGAATCACTTGAACTCAGGAGGCAGAGGTTGCAGTGAGCTGAGATTGCGCCACTGCACTCCAGTCCGGGTGACAGTGGGAGACTCCATCTCAAAATAATAATAATAATAAATTTATAATAAAATAAAACTTAGATCCTAAAAAATGTCAAGTTTCACTGAAGTCAGATTTTAAGATGTGCCAGTCTCAACAGTCACACTGAGAAAGCTATTCAGACTCGGTGACTCTACAGTTTATCATGAGCACTTTTTTGGCATATTCCATTTTTTCTTCTGGCTGCTCCTATGCATTAATCTATATGTGTGTGTCAACAAGAAGCTCGCAGTAGCAATGGCTGAATGAAACACCAAAAGTAATAGGAGCAAGTCCTCAAAAATAATTTGGGGTTCCTCCCTAACAAGAAGGACAAAGCTGCCCACCTGCATTTTGCATTTGCCCCAGCTCTTCCCATAATGGTCCCAATTTGGTTAAGGTTTCTTATCAATCTGCTCCAAAACAGACACAACTGGATATAAGGATCATGCACACTTACTTGGATTGATTGACATCAATAAGGGAACCAATTTTTGATGTTGTAAAAGAAATGTGTTCATCTCCAATGACGATTTCAAGCTCCTAGAAACATTTTAGAAAATCGAAGTCAAGTAGAATTGGATTATTCATCAAGCACACAGAAGGATTAATCATTTGCCAAATCACACAAACTTGACTACAGATGGCCACAAAAACAAGGGCAGTTCACTCTGAGCACTAAACTGTGCTGGGCACTAGAAACAAGAGATAAATACAGCTCATATTTAGAAGAAGTTGTACCCTTAAGGCCCTACCATTTCTCAGATTTGGAAAAATCTATGTAGGTTTTTTTTTTTTTTTTCCTGAGACAGAGTCTCACTCTGTTGCCCAGGCTGGAGTGCACTGGCATGATCTCGGCTCACTGCAACCTCCGCCTCCCAGGTTCAAGCGATTCTCCTGCCTCAGCTTCCTGAGTGGCTGGGACTACAGGTGCCCGCCACCACGCCCGGCTAATTTTTTTTGTATTTTTAGTAGAGACGGGGTTTCACCGTGTTAGCCAGGATGGATTTTTTTGTATTTTTAATAGAGACAGGGTTTCGCCATGTTGGCCAGGCTGGTCTCGAACTCCTGACCTCAGGTGATCCGCCTGCCTCAGCCTCTCAAGTGCTGGGATTATAGGTATAAGCCACTGCGCCCAGCCTATGTAGTATTTTGTATGAGTTTTCATTGTCAACAATGTGGAGTAACATGAATACACCTATGTTTTAAAAATACCAAACAATTGGACTGGGTGTGGTGACTCATACCTGTAATCCCAGCAGTTTGGGAGGCCAATGCAGGAGAATCACTTGAGCCCAGGAGTTTAAGACCTGTCTGGGCAACTTGGCTAAACCTCATCTGTACAAAAAATACGAAAACTAGCTGGGTGTGGTGGTGTGCATCCGTGGTCCCAGCTACTAGAGAGGCTGAGGTGGGAGGATTCCTTCACCCCAGGAGGTCAAGGCTGCAGTGAGCCATGATCTCATCACTGTACTCCAGCTTGGGCAACAGAGTGAGACCCTGTCTCCAACAACAACAAACAAAAACAAAAACCAAAGAATCTAATCTATCTAGGCAACTTCCAGACCTTAGGTTTGATCCCCACTTTGTCACTCCCTACATGTATGATGTTGGATCTCAATTTCCAAACAGTGACATGAGTACCATAACCTTCAAAAAGTATCTATGTGTAGCCTACTGGGTGCTGGCTATTGTTCTCAGTGCTTTGGACAGATAAGTAAAACCAAGCAAACCAAAGATCTCTGCCCTGTGGAATTCATATTCTTGTGAGGCCTATTTACTTTTTCTTCTTTTTGATTCATATATCCTTTTTGTTATAATTCAATCAGAAAATCGAAAAAACTGAGATGTTTCCAATACTCAGATTTATAAATTATTGCCATACTTGTGTCAGATTTTTTTTAAAAAAGAAGTAAAATATTACAAAGTTTATGTCCATCTCCCATTCTGTTCTCCCTCCTGTATCCCGATTTGTTCCACTCTTGTTTCAGATTTGGTAGTATGTTTTTACTTATTTCTTTTTAGATACAGGATCTCACTCTGTCACTGAAGCTGAAGTATAGTAGTAGGATCATAGCTCACTGTAACCCTGAGCTCCTGGGCTCATGCTATACTGCACCTTTAGCTTCTCGAATAGCTAGGACTACAGGTATGCGCCACCACGCCCAGTTAATTTTTAGGGTTTTTTTTTTTTTCTTTGTAGAAAAAAAGGTCTCACTGTGCTCAGGCTGGTCTTGAGCTCCTGGCCTCAAGTCATCCTCCCACCTTGGCCTCCCAATTAAGAACAAAAGTGCTGGGAATGCAGGCATGAGTCACTGCACCTGGCCTAGACGTGGTAGTGTGCTTTAAAATTTTTACAAAATGGTCTTATTATACATACTTTTTACATTTTTCATTCCACATTGTTTTCGAGATTTATCAATGTTGAGTTACACAGATCTAGCTCATTAGTTTTAAATGCTTGTGGTATTCCATTTCCCTACTGAAATAAACTTAAGTTTTAAATTTTTATTCCTATAAACAATGTAGCAAGAATATTCTTCTATACATCTCCTTGTACATGTGAATATGTCTCCATATAATTCCTAGTATTTTAAATGCTGCCAGATGCCACAAAATTACTCCCTAACGCGGTTATACTAATTTTATTCTCACTCTTTTCTCATATCATTTTTTAAATTCGGCAGATTTTTTTCTGTTTTTATTCTAATGGGTCTGAAATGGTATCTCACTGTTGTCCTTTCATTTTACAAATGAAGCCGTAAATCTTTTCATATTAGCCACTTGTTTGATCTTGTAAGTTATCTATTCATAACCTTTGCACATTCTGCCACGGGACAGTCTTTTTATTAATTTGTAATTCTTTATATATTCTGGATGGAGAACTCTTGCCAGTTTTATGTTTTGCAGATAACTTCTTCCAGTCTATGGCTTATCTTTCAACTTTATCTTGCCATCTTTTGTCAAACCTAAGTTGTAAAGAAGTCAAATTTACCAATCTTACCCCTTAAGGAGTTTTAAAAACTCCTTCTCTACCCAGAAATAATACAAGTCTATATTCTGTTTAAAATTTTTGATTTCTATGGCCTAATTTTAAAAATATTCCATAAATACATTGTCAGCTGTCCTGGTACAATTTGTTAAATAATTCGTTCTTTTCCCATTAATGTGAAAGTCCACCTCTGTAGCACACTTTTCTAAGTTTCCATATATTCATAGGTTGGTTTCTGGGCTCTCTATTCTGTTCCATTGGTTTAGCTGTCAATTCCCGAGGCAATATCATACTACAAATGACCACAGCTTTGTAAGAAATTTCCAGTATTATTTTGGCTACTCTTGCCTCTGATTTTCCATGAATTTAATGCTCATTCTATTTGATTCTAAAGGGAAAAAAATCCTACTGCGATTTTTATTTGAATTAAGAGTGAATTTATAAATTACTTTGTTGAAAACTGACATCTTTATGATACTGAATCTTGCCATCCACAAAAACGATACATATTTTTGTCCTTCTATAAAGCCCTTTCAAGTTTTGTACATCTTGTTAAATGCATTCCCAAGTTCTTTATAACTCTTCTTGCAATTATTAATGGAATTGATTTTAATTACAGTATCCAATGGCTTATTGCTGGTACAAAGGAATATGCCCTTCCCTCTTTACAGAATTGTTGTGATGGTAGAACGAGTTAATAGAAATAAAAATTTTATAAGTGGTAAAGCAAAATACATATATATGATATTACTGAGCTCCCTTGAACATAAATTAAAGTTAACTTTAGTAAGTACTGAGGGTGGATTTTTAAAAAAAACTCTTCAAGGGTTGGTCCATCATTTTGAGATTATTAGGAATGAGTTTATATGGGTTTTCATATTAATTTAACAAATACATTATTATTGAGCTTTTACTATACATGGGTACTATTTTAGTCACTAGAGATACAGCAGTGGAAAACACTGAAAAGCAAGTAAGACAATTTTAGACAATAGCAAGTGCTACAAAGACAACACATATTGTGATAAAACTGAAAGCAAAAAGAAAAAAAAACACAAAAAGACAACACAACAGATCTTTTTCTTAATGATGGGAAGCGACTTCTTAGATTGGATGGACAGGCAAGACATCACTGAGGAAGTGACTTTTGAAGACCTCAATAATAGAGACAGTCTTGTATAAAGTTAAAGGAAGAATATTTTAGGCGGAATGTGGCAAGTGCAAAGGCCCTGAAGTAAGAACCACCTAGGTATGTCTGAGGAACAGAAATGAAGCTAGTAAGGTTTGAACACCATGACAGATTGGAAGCCCGGTAAAAGATAAGGTGGGAGTTTGAATTTTAAGTACAGTGGGAAGCCATTGGAGTTTAAATCAGTGGAATACATAAGCAAATTTACGTTTTTAAAGATCAGACCAGTAGGATGCGGCGGCTTACGCCTGTAACCACAGCACTTTGGGAGGGTAAGGCAGGCGGATCACCTGAGGTCAGGAGTTTGAGACTAGCCTGGCCAACATGGTGAAACGCCATCTCTACTACAAATACAAAAATTAGCTGGGCATGGTGGAGGACGCCTGTAATCCCAGCTATTCGGGAGGCTGAGGCAGGAGAATCGCTTGAACCCAGGAGGCAGAGGTTACAGTGAGCTGAGATTATGCCACTGCACTCCAGCCTGGGCGACAGAGCGAGACTCCAACTCAAAAAAAAAATAATAAATAAATCACACTGGCTTTCAGGATGGAAAAATGGATGGTATGGAACAAGAGGAAAAACAAGGAAATCTATTAGAAGTCTGGATTAGGATGGTAGCAGTCAAGAGTGAAAATACCTTTTCTGTTAATTCAGTTCAATATGACAGTGGCTTTTATTTTTTAGTTACCAAAATGGTGCTCAGAATGAATATATACATTAATGTATATAAATATACATGAATTTAAATACATACACTGAATTATTTGTATGATTTTCCTTTCATTAGATTGTTGAAATAATTATGTTCTATTTCTCTTTGTATCTCCACAATGCTTTGTCCATAGTAGTTAGTAAGTGAGATAGGCAACAAAAGCTTTAAGTGGAGGAGGGAGTGTGGGGGGTCTTATTTGTAAGATTTCTGCACTACAGGATAATCAATAAAACACACCTGCCGGCCCACTCGGTCAGGAGGAGGCCACAATGCATCATCCTCTTTGGTAATTTCACTGTCGTCAATTATTCTCTTCAGTTCCTCCATCACGCTTTTATGTACATAAGCCTGAACGCAAGTTAAAAAACAAAATGTATGTTGTATCCTTAAGCAGTGCTTTGACTCAGATAGTGATGGAAGATAAAAATAACTGTTCCTGCAGACTTATTTCTGGCATCTCCTTAAGTGGGAAGACATTCATGCTCAACCTCGGCATGATGCAGGTG
This sequence comes from Homo sapiens, assembly GCF_000001405.40. Taxonomy (NCBI): domain Eukaryota; kingdom Metazoa; phylum Chordata; class Mammalia; order Primates; family Hominidae; genus Homo; species Homo sapiens. The sequence goes on from NC_000001.11 coordinate 53,233,811, forward strand.
AGGGACACGGTCAGAAGTATCCAGTAACTGCACCTCAGTCCCCTATCTAGCTGTTACTACCTCCTGGTACATCCTGTTCACATGGCCCTTCTGCCTGCCCACATACCCAACTCACAACGAAACCCAAAACAGGTCTGTGAGTGCCCCCTGCCATGGTTTGAATGTTTTTGTCTCCTCCAAAAAAATCATACTGAAATTAATCCCCAAAGCAACAGTGTTAAGAGATAGGGCCTTTAGGAGGTGATCAGGCCTTGAGGGCAGAGGCCCCAGGGATAGATTAGTGCTTTAGGAGAGAGCTTAAGGGAACTAGCTGGCCCCTTTCTTGTTCTTTCACCATATGAGGACACAGCATTCATTCCTTCTGGAGGATGCAAAAACAAGGCACAGTTGTGGAAGCAGAGACTGGGCCCTCACTAGACACTGAACTTGCCAGCGCCTTGATCTTGGACTTTCCAGCCTCCAAAATTGTGAGAAATATATTTTTACTGCTTACAAATTACCCAGTCTCAGGCATTTTGTTGCAGCAAAAAAGAGACTGCGACACCCACATGCCCTGGTTATTCTTTTTTTTTTTTTTTTTTGAAACGGAGCCTTGCTCTGTCGCCCAGGCTGGAGTGCAGTGGTGCGATCTCGGCTCATTGCGAACTCTGCCTCCTGGGTTCATGCCATTCTCCTGCCTCAGCCTCCTAAGTAGCTGGGACTACAGGCACCCGCCACCATGCCTGGCTAATTTTTTTGTATTTTCAGTACAGACAGGGCTTCACCGTATTAGCCAGGATGGTCTCGATCTCCTGACCTCGTGATCCGCCCGCCTCGGCCTCCCAAAGTGCTGGGATTACAGGTGTGAGTCACCGCGCCCGGCCAGTTATTCTTAACTAGGTAATACACTCCTGAGGAGCAAAATGTATTTTAAAAGATATGCCTGTGTAAAAAAATAGTGAGGATATTGACATGTGTGAATAAGCATAAAATCAATAGCTAAAATAACAATATGAAAATATATGCTAAGACATTTTCAAAGGTGGCAAAGTGGTTAAAAGGAAAGAGTAGCTTTGATGAAGCCTTAATGATGTAGTAGAAATCACAGAACGGAGAATACAAACTTTACTGGGGCAGGATTGGGAATTCCTGCTGTATCTCTTACTAGCAGGGGTAACTCAGAACAAGCCTCATAATTAATACCTGGGCCTTTATTTTCTTATTTGTAAGGGGGCTATAATACCCTCCCCCATCACATGGGCTTACAATCAGGGTTAAATAAGATGCCACGCCTGACATCTAACATGCATTCAATGATGTCAACTGCTTTCCCATGCTCCCTTTCCCACTCAGATGTAAATTAAATAGCTCTTCATTGTGTACCATGTACACAGGGAATATAGAGCACTTTAAATAGAACATATTTAATTTTATGACAGCACTTGGGAGTGGGAGGTAGCTTTTATTATTCCTGTTTTTACAGGTGAAGAAACAGAGATTTATCAAGTTCAGCCAGGAACTTGCCCAAGGTCACATGGGGTAGTAAGCAGCAGACTCAGGGTTCAAACCAAGGTATGTCAAAGGTTACCAGTAATTGATTCCACAATGTAAAATAAAAAAATCCCAACTAAAAGATGATTTGGGAAATAATCCAGAAGCTGTCTACAGACATGTGTCTCTCTCCCTGTTCTTTATCTTTCAATACTACTAGAAACAATAAAAACAATGCAAGACAAAAAGCTGAAATGTAGCAAATGAAGGACTCTCAGAAGGCAGAAGGCTCATACCTCTTTTCTGATCATGACATCATTCTTGTAATTGCTGTTGTTGGCATATCTTAACTTCCCTGTGGGGGCAAAAAACAATTTCAACGTATAATAAAAACATATGAATAAAGCATCAATACCATGCCAAGGCATCAGCAGTTGCCCAAAATGTATCTAACTTGCTAAAAGTGTCTAACAGATTTATTATTTACTCTTAAGGTATTTCAACAATACTAGTCTTTTCAGTTCTTCACTTCAGGCTTAAACAGCCAAATATACAGCTGAAACTCAACTACTGCAAAAAGCAGCTCAGGTGGGGTATAAACACAGGCAGGCTCTTTTCTGACTTTGTCAAATCACATTTTTGCAGGTGAATGTCCTGAAAACAGGCCTAGTAACTGATAACTTACCGACACATAGGACCTCCTGAGGCTCAAATGAGCTGTGAAAACATTTTGAAAACTGTAGGATGCAGTTTACATATATTATCATGTGACTGTGCCATACTCTATTTCTGTGATGGAGAAGCTGCTGCTTTTATCACTGAGCACATTTGGTACACAAGACCCTTTGCCCATGTGTGCATCTGACAGATTAATGGTGGGGATGAGGAGAAGACAGAAGGAAATAGAAGACATGTAGACTAGAAGACATACATGTGAGATGAGCCCAGTGAATTTATTCCAACAGCCTCTGTGCTGTCTCTCTGCCTCAAGTTTCTTCACATTCAGTTCACTGTCCATACAGTGGACAAGGTGATGTGGTAACAGATCTATCAGATTAGGTTACTCTAATACTTTGATAAAGTCAATGGCTTTCCACTGCCTTCCTGGTAAAATCCAAACTCCTCAACATGGCATACAGCTAAGCTAAGCCCCTGCCTGCTTTTCCAGCCTCATTCCTGCCAATATTCTTCTCTCACACAGCTGAAGTCAAACTACTTGGTTTCTGCCTGAAACATCCCAAGCACTTTTTGGTTTTCAGCTTCTTTGCATGCTGTCTAAAATGCCTTCTTGACTCTTCTTCGTCTCCTAACCAATTCCTCACATCCCCTCCTCCCATCATTTTATGTAGGAAGCCTCCTCTGACCCTCAGGCTTGGTTAGGTGCACCCTTCTCTGCTGCGAGCCTCCTCTGTTTCTTTTTACCACAACACCTAATGTGCTGTTTTATCACTGCTTACAAATCTATCTCCCTCACAGTCGAGGCCTGTCAGATTCATCTTTGTGCCCCACTTAGTGGATGTCTTCTGTCATCTTTGATTGCTCTTTCCTTCACCACAGTGCCTCTGCCAACAAAATCCTATCAACGATCAAAGTCCAGTTGGTTCTGCCTCCAACAGTTTCCTAAATCTTTCTCTCCATTTCTACTATCTCTGTAGTCCCAACCAGTATCTTTTTTTTTTTTTTTTTTTGAGACAGAGTCTTGCTCTGTCACCCAGGCTGGGGTACAGTGGCACTATCTCAGCTTGCTGCAACCTCCGCCCCAGGTTCAAGAGATTCTCCTGTCTCAGCCTCCCGAGCAGCTGGGATTACAGGCGTCTGCCACCACACCCGGCTAATTTTTGTATTTTTAGTAGAGGCGGGGTTTCACCATGTTGGCCAGGCTGGTCTTGAACTCCTGACCTCAAGTGATCCGCATACCTCGGCCTCCCAAAGGGCTGAGATTACAGGCTTGAGCCACCGCGCCCGGCCCCCAACATCTTTCGTGTCTTGACAACTGCAACAGTCTCCTAATCAATAGCCCTGTTTCCACTCTTGCCCATTCCGCACCCAATAACCAGAATGCTTTTTCAAGAAGAGATCACATTTCTTCTCTGCTTAAAACCTTCCAAGCCCGGCCGGGCGCGGTGGCTCACACCTGTAATCCCAGCACTTTGGGACGCCGAGGCGGGCGTATCACCTGAGGTCAGGAGTTCGAGACCAGCCTGGCCAACATGGTGAAACTCCGTCTCTACTAAAAATACAAAATTAGCCGGGCGTGGTGGTGGGCGCCTATAATTCCAGCTACTCGGGAGGCTGAGGCAGGAGAATCACTTGAACCCGGGAGGCGGAGGTTGCAATAAGCCGAGATCGCGCCATTGCACTCCAGCCTGGGCAAAAAGAGCGAAAGCCGTCTCAAAAAAAAAAAAAAAAAAAAGGCCTTCCAAGTCCAAACTTTTTACCGTGGTCTATAAAGACCTAAGAGGTGCCGCTCCTACCTACCTATCCGACATCATCTCCTGCTATCTCCCAGCTCACCACTCTTCAACCACACTGACCACCTGAGACACGCCTAGCTCATTCCCGCCCTGCAGCCTTGACATCTGGTATTCCCTTTGTGTAGAATGGTCTTCCTTATGAGCTTCACAAGGCTGAGCCCTTCTTGTTAATTAGGACTCGGCTGCAATATACCCTTTACAGAGAGCTCTCTAATGGCCAACCTATCTAAAAGCAGCCCATCCAGCAATTATTCTACCATGTTATTTTTTGACCACTCACTGCTATCTGGAATCATCTTTTTGTTTATGATCTCTCTCCCGGCAGTAAAACACAAGTTCCACGAGAGGGGAAGTTTGTCTACCTTCGCTGCCGTATTCCCAAAGAGTGGAACAGAGCCTGGCACACAGTGGGCGTTCAGTCAACGTTTGCTGAATGGATAGAAAGACCCCGTGGAGCAGACACAGTGGCGTTCCTTTAAGATCTGCACTGCACAGGTCTCAGTCCCTCCCTCCTCTAGTTCCCCACAGATTTCCGACCCTCGGCCTCCCCACTCGCCGGCCCCCAGGCCTGGTCCCCGCTCCCGGCGGGCGGCAGGCTGCTTTTACCGTCCGGTCGAAACTCAAACTCCAGGAACTCGTGGCCGAACTTGCCCTTGTGCCCCACGTAGTAACGCAGATAAAAGTCACTCTCCATGGCTCCCAAAAGACAACCGAGCCTGAACTTCCAAGAGCAAGCCGCACTGCCGCCGTCTGCGCCCGACACTGACGTTTGCGGCGGCGCGCGGAAGTGACGTCAGGTCCCGTCGTCGCTGCGTGGAGGGGTTCCTTCTCGCTAACCTCTTCGCCCGGAAGTGGCAACAAGACTGCAACATCCCCTCACGCCTAGTCTGTAAAGAACTTTGTTTAACCCGGAGGCGGGGCCAGCCAGCTCCGCCCCTCCAGCTGGACGCGGGAGCGAGGTTGAGGTTCATACCCCTGGGTTCTCTCCAGGCCTGAGGCGGAGAGCCAGCCGCCTGCCTACCTCTGGGCTTTGAACCCCGGGTCTGGTGACTTCGCTTAAAGACCTCGGGCCGAAGGCCCGCCAGGCTCAACCTCGGTTCACAGGACCCCCGACTTGTGTGAGTCGTACACCGCTCTTTACCGTCTCTGGACCTAGGTCATCTCGGCAGTAAAATGGGGTGAAATGACCCGACCTCCCCGGAGGATGCCGCGCACGATGTGTGCCTCAAGTTGGCTTCCACTGACCTGAACTGTTAAGAAAGCCCTCCTCAGTGACGCCTTCCCTGAATCCACAGTGGAGATTGCCGTTTTCCTGGAACTAATTCACCCACACTTACCCATTTCATCCCTTTCCACCTTTTATTTCTACCTTTCTGCCCCACTGATCTCTAGAATAGGTGCTGGGAGACGTTAGAGTATTTGATCTCCCACTCCCCAGTCATCCCACTTACCGAGCAGTAATTCTCTGCCTGGCTGCACATTGCAATCACTTGGGAAGCCTCTAAAAATACTGATGCCAGGGCTCTACCCCAAGCCAGTTAAAATCTCCAGCGCTGGACCTGGGCATTGGTACTTTTTGTAAAGCTTTCAGGTGAGTCAGAGTTGAGGACCACTGACCAAAGAGGTCCTTTCTTTTCAGGGTAAAGTTGTCCTCTGTGAAGCCTTTCTGGCTCTGGAAAAAATTTACAGTTGAGTAGGCCCAGGGCAATCAAGATCATAATTATGTAATAGGAACCTGCTTTCACTCATCTAAGTTCCAGGCTTAGAAAGAATGAATGGTTCTAGAGACAGTGCCGAGATGACATCATTCTTGGGTCCTGGCGGCTAGAACTGTATACGATTCTGTAAGTTGGGACAGCAGTCTCTGATTCCTATTCCCAGTCTTTTCTTTTTGAGACGGAGTTTCGCTCTTGTTGCCCAGGCTGGAGTGCAATGGAGTGATCTCAGTTCACCGCAACCTCGCCTACCTAATTTTTAAACTTTTTGTAGAGGCAAAGTCTCCCTATGTTGCCCACGCTGGTCTCAAACTCCTGGGTTCAAGTGATTCTCCTGCCTTAGCCTCCCAAGTAGCTGGGATTACAGGCATGCGCCACCATGTCCAGCTAATTTTTGTAATTTTCTGTTTTTAGTAGAGACGGGGTTTCACCATGTTGGCCAGGCTGGTCTCGAACTCCCGACCTCAGGCGATCCGTCTGCCTCGGCCTCCCAAAGTGCTGGGATTACAGGCATGAGCCACCGCGCCCGGCCCTCAGTCTTAACACGGAGTCCTTTTCTCCCTGCAAAAGCATTAGCAGCAGAGTGTAGAGTAGGTGTGGTGGGGGAAAAATCACTGGACACAGGTTAAAATAATCCCTGTGTAACAATGACTCATTGTAACCAAAGGTGAACCGACTCAACTTTTTAGACTTCAGTTTCCTTCTCTTTAAAATGAGCATAATAATGTACACCTAGCAGAACTGTTGTAAGAAACAATGTCTCGGAAACTAAATTGCTGTAAAACCATAAGACATTTTTATTACAAAACACTGGATATGGGTGGTAACAAGGGAATTGTATAAACGAGAAGGGGGCTAGACACAGTGGCTCATACCTGTAGTCCCAGCACTTTGGGAGGCTGAGGCAGGAGGATCACTTGAGCCCAGGAGTTTGAGACCAGCCTGGGCAACATAGGAGACTGTCTCTACAAAAAATTTAAAAAATAGGTAGGTGTGGTGGTGCACACCTGTAGTCCTAGCTACTTGGGAGGCTGAGGTAGGAGGATAATTTGAGCCTGGGAGGTCGAGGCTGTAGGGAACCATGATCACACCATTACACTCCAGCCTGGGTGACAAAGCAAGACCCTGTCTCAAAAAAAAAAAAAAAGAGAAAAAAAGAAAAGGGACCAGGTATCAAGCACCTAATAAATGTCAGCCCCTAGGGTCAATGGGATTACCTGTGCTTGTTCTTTGAATCATCACAACAATCTTGAGGTGGTAATTAGAGTTAAGTATGTAGAGGGATTAAGCAATTGCTACAAGGTTATTTTCCAGGAGTAAAATTATAAAAATCATAAGTGAATCTGGGGATCTTCAGATGTGGCAAATAACAAAAGTGTTGAGAAATTTAAAGGACACACAACTCCAGTCAGGCTGTGAAGTAATCCAGGTTTCTGGATATGAGACATGGTGTAACTGAAAGAGCATGGTCTGTGTGTCTGCAGTGCCTGCATTCAGCATCATTTATTTGAGCATCCACTGAGTGTCATGTGCAGAGAGGATACAATGTTGAGCAAGACAGTTGTTCACAGAGCTTGCAGAGGAGGCAGTTAAGGAGCATACAAGCAATTACAATGTAAGGATAAGATTACCAATAAAGGAAGCACAGAGGACTATGGAAGCACATGAGGTGACTCCTAATCCAGTGCAGGGTCCTTAGGGAAATGTTCCTGAAGGAAATGTTCCAGACGGAGGCCCAGAACTGTGTGATTAGAATATAGAGTAGTGAGTGATGAAGCTGGAGACAGGGCAGAAGCCAAATCATGAAGGGTTTTATAAGCCATATTAAAAGAGTTTGGGCAAACCCAAGAATATTGGATTTTTGTGCCAGCAAAGCAGTTGAAGAGCTTTAAGCAGGAAAGTGGAAAGAAGTGGTGGTGATACATCTATGGTACTTTAGAAAGACACTTTGGCTGCAGTCTTGTAGGTTAGATTGGAAAATGAAAAGACTAGAAGTATGACATTCAGATAAGTAGTTTAAGTAATCTATTAGCTGGGCAGGGTGGCGTGCACCTGTAGCCCCAGCTACTCGGGAGGCTGAGACAGGAGAATTGCTTGAGCCCAGGAGGCGGAGGTTGCAATGAGCTATGATCCTACCACTGTACTCCAGCCTGGGTAACAGAGTACGACCCTGTCTCTTAAAAAAAAAAAAAAAAAAAAGTAATGGAGATAGAAAAGTGGATGGATTTGAGATGGAATACCATAATTTAAGGGGTAGGCAAAGGATACTAAGATGTGGCCAGAGAGATAGGAGAAAAAACATGAAATGTTATCATGGAAGCCAAAATAAGAATATGCCAAGAAAAGAGTGGCTAACAGTGTTAACTACTGCTTCCAGGTCAAGGAAGAGCAAGACTGAAAATGTTTACCAGATTTATAATCGAGGAGGTCCTGGATGACCTTGGCAAAAGCAACCCCAATGGCATGGGAATGAATGGTAAGGCAGAAGTATTGGGATGCAAGTAGGCAAAAATTGTTATCGAAGTACAGAGGTGAGTTATCTAACCTAGTCTTAGAGAAAAGGGAAGGCTTCCTGGAGGAGGCATTACCTAAGTGGAGTACTCAAGGACAAATAGGAGTTAGTCATGTGGAGGCAGAGAAGGAAAATTTAGGCAGAGAATGCTACATGTACAATTGCTCTTTGGGGGCACTAAAAATAACCTTGTGACTTTGGGCAGTTACTTTGCCCATTTTCTCATCTATAAAATGGGAGTGGATAGTATTGATAGTATTTATCTCACCGAATTGTTGACAAAGATTGGGATAATTTATATAGAATACTGGTACACATTAGGGACTCAGTAATAGTTCACTCCCCCTCATTAAAGTATTACAATGAAACAAAACTTAAAAGATTTTTTTTAAATGAATTTAATCTCTCTCTAGAAACAGTGCACTGATTTTACAAATGTCCACATTTGGTTTTCAGTTTACCAAGATGATGCCAGTATAGCTAGTGAGATGCAGCACCCCATCCTCAGCCCCCTCGCCTCTGGAAGAGACACCAGACTGCAAAGGGCACCGCGTACAGAAGCTAACGGAACTTGAATGACAAGACAAAAAGAGCAGAATCAGTTAGTGTGACACAACATTCTAACATGCCTGATTCTTACATCAAATATGGTAACTTTGGGGTTGGTAGGGGGAGACAAACAAGGAGAATCCACTTGGGAACAATTTGATGAAGTTTGCAAATCAGCACTTTACCCCCAAATTAACAACAGCTTGTATGGAAAAAAAAATGCTCTTTTAAAAGTATATGGTTTGGACAGGTATATTTGTTTTCTCTTGTAGTTTTTGTAAAAAAGTATCAAAACCTTGGCTTTAAATATATATATATATATATATATACACACACACACACGTGGCTTTTTAAAAATTACTTTTTTATAGCACAAAGTGTTTGTAAATGCAGAGGGTTTCTGCTAATTCTTGACTGTGCACATGGTGCATAGCCTGAATGAACAGAGCTTCCTGATTTTTTTTTAACTGAAAAATTGAAGCAGTAATTCTTTAACCTTCTAAATTCTCCATACCCTAAAAATACAGTGTGAGAAGTCTGTTACTCTATCTTCATGCATTTCGGGAAAAGGAATTATTTACTCTGAAACATTTAATGCTAACTCATTTATATTTTGTGAAACGATGAGTGTATGGCTGGAGTTCGGGGGGTAGGGTGGAGAGGCTTGCATTCCTGTGCCATTTCCCCATTCCCACCAGTGCCCAACTGGACAGTGATTAGTATCCCCTCTCCAGACTCAACGTCTTCAACATTTTCGTTTTTCTTTCTCACAGTTGAGAAAATCTAAGAGGCTCTCGACAACATGGCATGCATCTGTGAAAATCCCACTGCCCTTATATTAGTCTTCATTGACCATATAAAAAATCTTTGACTCAAATATATGAAAAGCAGTCAGCATTTCCCTTTGGCCACTGGAAAGCTTGAGGCTGAATAATATCAGTTCTGCAAAGTGCTGGCAATGCATCCTAATGAATTTTCCATGATGCATGTAGTGCCTTGTACACAATGATCAAGAAATGCTTCATTGAATCAGAAATTAATCTATTTTATAAAGTGCTTACATTGAATCTCTTTCCATACAGCCTCATTTCTTGCCCCCCTTGAGCCTTTTGTTCCTGTTAGAATGAACTGTGCAATTCCTAAAGTCCCTGTGCTCTTTCATACCTCTGTGTTTTAGCTCGATGTGTCTCTGTCTGAAGCAGCTTGGAATCCCCTTCTTAATTTTTAAGACTTAAGGTCACTTCTATGATGACCCTATTCCTCATTTCTTAGGTGGAAAGACCCCTCTCTCCTTTGAGCCCTAACAGTGCTCTGAATAGAATCAATGCCTTTTTTGTTTCCACATATATCATCCTCCACTGCTACTGTGAACTCTGTAAAGTCAGAACATGTGTGACTGACCTTTACATCTGCAGTGCCAGGTGTGTAGTTGGTATCTAGTGAGTGGTTTTAGTGAATGAATATACTGCAGTCATACTGAGATAACTGGAGGGATCAATAGGACTTACTGCCATACATTTAAATCCGATCTCATTCTCTTTTTGCCAGTTAACAGGTTACTTCAATCTGTTTTATAAATAATCTGTGTATCAAGAGTAAATAAGTACAGTTTCGTTTTCTCTGTTTCTAGAAGGCATTTCAGTTAGTGCCTTTGTAATTCCACTGGAGGAAAGGTAGACCATAGTATAGGTAGCAGGTTTGATACAATGTTCAGGCAGCCCAAAATAGTCTTCCTGCAGAAGGAAATGGAGGAAACGCACTGGGACTGGCTTCTGATAAATTTTCTGCCCCCTTGGCATTGTCTCTGAGCTTCCTTCCAGCTCTATAGTCCAGTGACTCTGTGATCTGTGATTGGCTGTAGATAGCTATGCACGGGGGCAAAAGGCAAAAGATATGTAACTGTACCTCAAAATGAGGCTGAAAAGCCTCTATGAATGGGGGAAGGTGGATCTGACTCCTCAGGTTTCATCTTATTTACTGCCGTCCAACACATGAATATATCACAATTTGTTTCTTGTAAAGGGTTGCTCCCATTGCTGCCTCTTTCAAACTGCAGTTGTAGCATATGCAGGAAACATGAATGTCTCTGAGAAAAAGTTGTGAATTTCATTGTCATTTTGAGATCTCAGGCTGTATGTCCAGACCCCATTCATCATTTTTTTCTGTGAATGCCAGGATCTTACTGAAAGTTTAGAAACTATGCCTTAGCCACTGTTATCATTTAATTCCTTGGAAAATTCAGTTTCTTTGGAAGGTTACAGAAAAAGTCACTTGTTTTGAGTACATTTCCATGTTTTTCACTGTCATCATTTTTCTTCAGTCAAAAATAATTTTACTTTCCGTTCTTAAAAGAATAGTAATATGTGAGTAAGCTCCATAGGAGTTGGCCACCTGTTCTTAAAATTCTGTTTGGTATTGGTCATTCTAGGTCAACTGCATTTACCCTCTCAATGAATGTTTCAGGACTATCAACACATGCATGTCATGAGGAGATTGCTGGATTATGCAAAACACACTGCCCAAGCTCCAGAATATAGTTATTTTCTTAGAGTTTAGGAGGCCAAGAGTGACACAGAGGAAGGTCCTAGGTACAGGATGCTAGAACTCCAGAATGTCTGACTGAAAATTCAAAGGGTATCAAGCTGGTGAGACATCCAACTTCATTGAGTTGGGGGCATCTGGCAGGTAGGGATGGGAAGGCATTTGCTTAAGTGTGTCAAGTTCCAGGTATGATGAGATTAGATGCAGCTCCTCTGCTCCTACTTAAGTCAAACACTTCCATGTTGCACCTTGTCCCTGGTTGTCTAGTGGGAGTAAGTGGCAGAACAGCAGAGTTAAGAAACTCAAACTCTTTCTCTTTGGATGGGAAAGCCACTGGGGACTGAATCCTTCTGGGACTATAGGATTATGTTTCCAATGGGAGACCCCACAAGTAGAAAAGAGCACTTCTCCCTTCCTCCCCCAAGGCCAAGAAAAGCAAAGAAGATGTCTATAATGAAGAACATCTATACATATACCCGGAGTTTTTCCTTTTATTTACAAAGCAGTAAACCAAATTCCTGTGTGAACATAAATATCCAATATAATATAATATTGCGTATGCCATTTCCCCCCTCAAATATGACTTCAATTTTGGCCAGTTGTTCTGACTTAAGCCAAAAATTAGTTTCATCTATATGAACATATGATGGTAAGTAACCTATTTATTACCTTAAAATGTTTCCCCACATAAAGGAAATGGTAGAGAGTAAGGGGAAAAGAGAAATAAGAGATGTGATAAAACCTATTCCACCATCTTTATCTTCATCCACAGCATGTCCTAGACATTCAGTGCCTGGGCCAGTCTCTATAGTAAACTTGGGCTGATCTGGAAACGTCTCCACTTAGCTCTGTAAGGATGGCACCCTTCAGGGTGCTTCAGAGGAAACTTACTGAATTCAACCCAAGTGTCCTGAAAGAAATTGAAGAAGTTACTCAAAGAGCTGAACTTTAAAACAAGGAGTAGCTGAGGGTGAGGCATATCCTATCTTGAGTTTCTGAGCACTCTGGTACCATGGAATGTCTGTACACTGACCTTCGCCAAAGCCAAGAAAGCCCTGGTAGGAGTCACAGCAGCCATGGGTGAGCTGAAAGGCTTTTCCTGACTTCCTGGGGTCTCAGGAATAGCCAGAGGTGAAAAGATTTGCCTTTTTTACTACATAATTGCACAAACCATGGTATCTATTTTCTGATCCAGATTTCCAAAGGCTTTTCTGAAAACTACAAGATATACCCCTTGTGGACTGTGTGAAAATAAATTTATCTTTATGTATTTGAACAGTAGCCATAGATGTGCCTCTTCTCTACAGATTTTTCTGTCACACACATACACATATAAACACACACATACACACACAGAGTCTGTGTGGTGGGCCAAACATGCCAAAAATAAATACTCTCACTTCTCTAAATTATTTATAGAACTCATCTGATTTTTAAAATATGTTAATAAATAATCTAAATGGGGGAGGGAGTTGAAGTGTTTTTTTTTTTTTTTTACTTATGTTGATGGATAGCCACAAAGCATAATCATCTTATTTACAAAAAACAAATGCCCCAAAACCTAAAAAAGCCCCCCCAGCAACCAAACATCTTCTGTAAATATAGTTTTTAAATGATGAGTAAGGTACTGTGCCATTGGCCCCCATTTGGTTATGTGCATCATGTTAGTCAGCAGTAGCCATTCCACGAATTCCTCATGGGTAGTGCAACCAGTTAAAAAGTGTATAAAACATTATACATAGAAAAACTCTCACATCCTTTGGATGTTTGCAGTTCATCATAACTTTGTGGTTACCTTTCCGCAACATAAATTTAAAAAAAAAATCACACACACACATACACTCACACAGACCCATATATAGAAACCCATTCATCCAGTCATACACCATCCAGAGTGTAGTGCATGGGACTGAATTCCATGAGGCACGAAGGGGGTGATCCCATCCTCAGGGTAGTCCATCATCTTCAAGGCTTAATGCCACTCGCTGGGGAGACAAACCAAAGAATTCATCATTAGATCCATAAGAGTTACTATTTATTTAGTATTGACAAATCACAGACTTACGTTACTTTAACAGGTATTAGCTCACATAATGTTCAAACTATCCTAAGAGACAGGATTTATCCTATTTATTTTACAGATGAGAAACAAAACTCAATGAGCTTAAGTAGGGTTTGTTCTGGATCACATAGCAAGTGGCTGAACTAAAATTTGATCCCAGGTCTGTATGAATCCAAAGCTGTAGATTTTTTCATCATTCTGTTTTGTATCTTTGTAAAGAAGAGTTGCACAGATCTAAATTTTCTTAATCCTCCCTTATAGGATTTTAGGTTTGGTCAATTTCAGTGGGTTAGCTTTGGCAAATGTTAAATTTCAGGCTATGGGGTTACTTGTCTCTAGCATGCTAATCACATTTAGAAAGGTAATATACTGCACCTTCCCAACAGATTAAACACAGTTGGGAGGCAATGCAGGTTAATTAAATTCCATCCCTCTCTCCCTCACCCCTGCTTTCCAGTCATTAGGTAGATGCTAGACTCCTGTCTGCCAAAAATGGCTGACCATGGGAAGGTGAGCCCACTAACCCCTGAACCAGTCTATTCCATTGTGGACAACAGATTTAAATTCTTTCCTATATTAATGTGAAATTTGTTTGTTTATATCTTCTGACATTCCCTGATTCCATCTCAGACTCAGAGACAGTTCTACATAGGACAACCCTTGAAATTTATAGATGGTGTTTGAATTCCCTTCCGTTCATTCTGAGTGTTTTCTTCTCCAGGGTACACATCTAACTTTCCCCAGCTAGTCCTGATGTAATCTTGTTTGCCTCTTTTCCATTTCCCAGATACCCTCCTTTGGAAAGACCCTCCCCAGCTTCAGTACTTTTCCTCATAGTTATGTGAATTTGGGCCAGCCACTTTACTTCTCTGAGACTTAGTTTTATCATCTATCAAATGGGAATAGTAACAGGACCTACCTCACAGGGTTGTTGAGGAATCAAATGAGATAATGCACAGAGAGTGTTTAACATAGTACCTAACAACACATAGGGCCCAGAATATCCTAGGTCAACGTAACCAACATAAAATAGAATCAGACTAGTATCTCCCATCTCTGGACATTCTACATATGATAAAAAGTAACTCTACTGCCTTTCAAGTCATCTTTGGGTTATCTGTAGTTTTTTTATGAATGCAATGGCCATCCTCCACCAGTGTAGATATTTAAGACTATCTTATTCTAGTCTAGCTACCCTCCCACTCTCTCTAAGACAGATCTCTAGGCCAAAGATAGGCCCCAGTAGTGATGGTACAGTTATCCGAGAAATGGACAGAGGAGAGACAGGTTGTTGAGAATATTGATTTCCAGAGCTTCAAGGCTATTTACCTCACGATATAAAGGAAAGAGCATGGGCTTTTGTGTATATACAGACTGGAGTTTGAATTCTGGTTCTGCCACTTCCTGGCTATGACCTTAGGCAAGTTATTCAATTTCTATGAGTCTCAGTTTCCTCATCTGCAAAATGGGGCGAATAATATCAGCTTGATAAGGTTATTATGAAGATTAAATGAGAAAATATATGTAAAACACTGGGAACAGTGTCTGACACACAGTAGGTGCTCACTAAATGTTGATTTCCTTATTTCTCTGCAACTGGCAGAAGCTTATTACTTGGTCCTTAACACTCATCGGGAGTAACTCCCCCTGAGTCATTTCTTTCTCTGGAAATAATGTCACTTTACATGTGCAGAGTGCTTTGTAAGTCACAAAGTGCTCTCACACGTGCTATCTCACTTGTACTTTATAAACTCAGGAGGCAGGTAGAATGGGGGTTGTTATTCTCATTTTACAAATAACAGTGAGCAGAAAGAAGTGACTGAGATCACAGGGCAGTGGAAGGATGGAACTGGGAGTTTTCTTATTCCAAGTTCAGTGCTTCTTCCACTGTGCTCCCTCTGATCTTCAAAAACTGGTCAAGCAACTATTTTTTTGGACTGGCCGAGGTTAAGGATCCTCAAGGCCATCTGCTAACCCTCCTCATTTGCTCCATCTCATTTCCCATGTCTCCCCTTCATGAACAGTTTGCCTCAGCAGCAATTCTGTCTGCCCTGCCCCAAACTTGATTGCTTTCTTCCACATGCCATTCATTGGTCTGTGACTAACCCATTTTTCTTCTTTGCCCCAACACCCAGCTTACAATTTGCAGCCTTCCCAAACCAGAAAGCCTTCTAGGATTGGCTGCGCCTGCCTTGGTTCATGCCCTCACTCACCAGCCCCTCAGACTTAGAGTGGCACTGCCCTACCTTGGATTTGACGACAGGCAGCTCGGAAAGAGGGTTCTTCGGGAGTTGGTGCAGCTGTGACCTTGGTTCCCCCGGCAAGACAAAAAGCTCCTTGAGGGCAGGGGCTGGGTCTTCCGGTTCTCTGGTCTCCCCAAGACAGGGCTCTGCCCACAGTGGGCGATCAAAGCTGCTGATTGCCTGACAGGGGGATGGCACTGTGGATGACCTCTGAGGTCACACTCAGCCCCCTGACTGTGCTGTATAACAGTGACACCTGCTGTGCCACTTTGTGGTCCTCATTCCCCCAAAAAGCCATGCTGTGTTGTACCTTCAAGCCTTTGCACATGCCTCTATCTGGAATGCCATTTCCCTCCTTCTCTCCCGGGAAAACTGCTATTAATCTTTCAAGGACATAGTCCATCTGTCACCTTCTCTGTGAGGCATTCCTTGCCTGATTCCCCAGACAGAATTAATAGCTCCCTTGTTGATGTTTCCATGGCATCTGTTCAACAAATATTTGTTGGGAGTCAGCCATGCCGTGCTAGGCATCAGGAAAACAGATTAATCAGACAGTTCTGCCCTCAAGGATCTTATGGGTTAGTGAGGAGACCACTGAGTAAAAGACAAGTGGACTACAGTGTGACAGGGGCTGTGAGGTAGAGAGGCCCAGAGTACTGTGGGAGAACAAAGCAAGCCAAAGATAGCTTTCTAGAAGAGGGGACTCCTGAGCTTCCACCACGGCATTCAGCACACAATTATACCACTGTATGTTAGTATCTCTAACTCCCTACCAGCTTCTTGGGAGCAAGCATGTTCCTTATTGACTTTTGAATACTTGATATCTAATGTGGTGCTTGGCACATAACTGGCATACAGTATTGAAATGAATACATTTGAATTAAATGGCCACAGTTACCCTTCCAGGCTAAAGGTTCTGAAAATTTACTGAGCAGAAAGAGAGACATTTGGCTTTTTTTACTGCCAGGAAGAGCCTCTAGGTACAAGGTGGTCCTGATACCTTTTTACCTTAACCACCTACCCCAGCATTTCTGTGTTCCCCAGGGCCTAGAACAGTGCCTGATACATGGTGCGTTTTTGATAAATGTTTGAGGAAGGAAAGAAGGAGGAAGGGAAGGAGGGAGGAAAGGAAGGAAAGAAGGAAAGAAAAAAGACAGGGAGGGAGGGAAGGACGGAAGGAAAGGAGGGAGGGAAGGACGGAAGGAAGGAAGGGAGGGAAGAAAGGATGGGAAGGAAGAAAGGATGGGAGGGGAAGAAAGGATGGAAGGGAAGATGGTCGGAAGGTAGGAATTCTCCCAGTGAGAAATACTTACTGCAGGATAGACATGGCCAATCTGAGCAGTTCTCCCTATATGGAGCTCATCTTCGTCTTCTTCTTCTGTTGTTTTCCTGTAGACTGGGTTGTCAAAATTCATGCTTTTGGTGTTCTTCCGCTTCCAGTTTCTCCAGATCAGGTATCCACTCATGCACAGGAGGGCTATCACCACTGGAGGAAGGACACAGGACACTGGACCTCCAGCAGGCTCCAACCCACTGCTCAGACATCTGTACAAGGCTTGTCACCACTCCACTTTTACTACCCTTTGCTCCTCAGGCTCTGTTTCTGCATGTTCTTTTACTGCTGTTTGAAAGCCCATCTCTCATCCCTTCTTTCCTTTACTAACTATTCATCCTTCAAGATCCTGTTCAAATGTGAAGTCTTCCCCAACTGTGGGCAGAGTCAGTTGCTCTCTCATGTGTGCTCCCAGATCACACACAGTATCTTACTTTATGTATCTGTACTCCCAACTAGATAGCTCTTTCAAGGCAGGGACTGTGTCTTTTTTTTGTTTTTAAACTCTCTACGCCCAGTTCCTAGCACTGACTAGGTGCCTAGTAACATGTGCTGAATGAATGAGTGAATTTTACCACACCTTTGCCCTAATGCTGCTGCTTCCCTAGATTTCTCTAAGAAAACGATTCTCTCCCAAAACTGGGGGGTGGAGAGTGGGATGGGGCCAGGCAGAGTGTTTATTTCCAAAGGTGAGGCTCCACCTGAAGAAGAACATCTCTAGAAGGAGACACAGAGGGCAACACAAGCTCTGATTTAGAATAAATGACTATGTTAATGATTAAAGGAGGAAGCTCTCTCCAACACAGCTGGGTAAAAATGGAGCAAGTAGCTTTGTAAGGTGATTAGCAGTCACTCTGAGCATCCCAGTGGAGGCTGAATGATCACCTATCTAGGATGCTATGGAAGGGGTTTCTGTTTTAGTAAGATTACAATAATTGATAAGCATTAAAGACAGGAACAAGGCAGTTATCATTGCTAATATTTATTGTCTTAGAGATCTAGCTATGCAGTAAGGCCAGAAAAAAATTTAAGGGTATAAATATGGGAAAGGAGCCCAGGTGCGGTGGCTCACGCCTGTAATCCCAACACTGTGGGAGGCTGAGGCAGGCAGATTACTTGAGGCCAGGAGTTCGAGACCAGCCTGGCCAACATGGCGAAAACCCATCTCTACAAAAAATACAAAGTAGTTGGGCATGGTGGCGGGCACCTGTAGTCCCAGCTACTCAGAAGGCTGAGGTGGGAGGATTGCTTGAGCCTGGGAGGTCAAGGCTGCAGTGAGCCACAATCATGCCACTGCACTCCAGCCTGGGCAACAGAGTGAGACCTTGTCTCAAAAAAAAAAAAAAAAAAGTAAATAAATAAATACATATGAGAAAGGAGGAAACCAAACTGTTATTAACAGCTATTTGTATTTTTAGAAACTCTTAAGAGAAGCTGGTGAAAAACTATCAGAAATAATTTTAGTTAATCAAGAATCAACATAAAAGATCATTAGCCGTCTTTTTAATCAGCAACAACCAATTAGAAAATTTAACGGAGGCCAGGCACAGTGGCTCACATATGTAATACCAACATTTTGGGAGGCTGAGGCAGGAGGATTGCTTGAACCCTGGAGTTCAAGACCAGCCCGGGCAAGATGGTGAGCCCTGGTCTTTACAAAAAAATTAATTTAAAAAATTAGCCAGGTGTGGTGGTGCATGCCTGTAGTCCCAGCTACTCGGGATGCTGAGGCAGGAGAATCCCTTGAGCCCAGGAGTTCGAGGATGCAGTGAACTGTGATCGCACCACTGCACTCCAGCCTGGGCAAGAGTGCAAGATCTTCTTGTCTCTTAAAAAGAAAAAGAAAAAGAAAAAGTAATGGAATAAAAATACATTCGTAATAGCCCATCAAAAGCTATAAAATACCTAGGAAAACCTAAGAAGAAATACGCAAGTCCTGTGTAATCTATAAAATTCTGCTGAGGGACGTAAAAGAAGACTGAAATAAATAGGCCACATTTCTGGATGGGAAGCTTTAATATAATAAAAAGGTATATTCTCCTCACATAAACTCATATATCTAAAACAATCTTGATAAAAACTTCACCAAAATTTTTATAGAATTGATAAGATTATTCTGAAGTTCACCTAGAAGAGAAACTGAATAAAAATAGCTGAGAAGATGTTGTGAGCATAACATATCATGAAGTTGTGCTAATAGTATGTAGGAATATATAAATCAGTGAAGGAAAATAAACTGCTTAGACGCAAATCAAAGTACGTATGGGAGGTAGTTTATAATAAAGATGACGTGCAAGTCAGGAGAGAAGTATGGATTATTCAATGATGGTTTTGGGGAAACTAGACAGGTATATAGAGAAAAAAACAGTTAAATCTCTACCTCATACGATACTCTAAAATTTAAATTCCAAATAGATTAATATCCTAATACTAAAAAAAAGTTTAAAGTAGAAAAGAAAAACATCAGGAGATATTTTAATAAGTTAGAGTGAGGCTGGCCTTCTTAAGCAAGACACAAAACCCAGAAATCTTAAAAGATTGACAAATCTGATACTTAAAAGTTTCATATTTATGCATGGCAAAAGATACCATAAACAAACTTTAAAACCAAATGTCAGACTGGAAGAAAATATTTGTAACATATATTTTAAAGGTTTAATATTTGTCATGTATAAATATTTCTATAAATAAGAAAAAGATAGCCAATAGAAAAATAAGAAAAGACTGTGAGTGGGCGATTCATAACAGATAAAATATAAGTAAAGGGGCTGATAAGCTTACGAAAATATACTCTACCTCACAGGGAAATGTCAGGGAAATAATACTCATCTTTCACTCCTCAGATTAGCAGAAATTAAAAATATTGAATATTTCAGAGTGAGTTATGTCAGCAAAACAGCATATATCTGCCTCTTTCTATAGGGCAAAGGATGGCAAGAAAGGGGTAGATTTATCTTTCTCCACTCCAATCAAAATAATCCTGGAATAATCACCTCACCATCATCTTTCCTGGTGAAGCCTTTCAAGGCCAATTCAAATGCTGTCTTCTCCAGAAGCGCCACTTTTACTCTGGAATTACCTTTCCTTCTACCATCCCTTCACAAGAGTATCATGCCACTATTACATTGTTCCTCTGTCTCTATCTATATCCAACATGCCCCTATCATAGCACATAATGACATGTATTAACATCTACCTTAAAGGACTTTATTTTTGCCTGATTAAAGACTGAAAGCTCTTAAAGTCTTTATTTTTTTCTTCCCTGGATCCTTGGCACTTGGCACAGTCAGTGTCTTACACAGGGGAGAAGTTTTTAAAACATTTGCTGACTAACTCGGCATACTGAAGATTCCCAGGATAAAAGGACAAAGTTCCTGTCCTTGAAGTACTCATAGCCAAGTAAGGGAGATAAAGCTCTGAATGGACAATCAGAATGCAAAGATACTGCTACGAGATGAGACTGCTAAGAGAGGGGTGTACAGGATACCGTGTGGTCATCAGGGTGGAAGAGAATGAATCAGCCCCCATGATTCTCTGTGAGGTCTTAACAAAGTGTTATACTCTGGCCATACTGATCTCCTTCTAGCTCTAAACCCACCCCACCCTGACCCTTCCAGGCCATTTCCTACTCCTGGCTTTACTCATGCTGTCTTCACTGCTTGGACTGTTCTTGATCCTCCCTCACTTGGCTGACCCAGCTCAAATATCACTTCTGTTAGGAAACCTCCTCTTCCCTCTTCCCCCTCCCCCAGCCCAAGTTAAGTGTTTCCTCAGCACTGTCTCTGAAGTCAGTGCATGCAGCTTAACCTTAGGACCTACCAGGTCGTAATGAACTTATCTGTGTTATGTGGGTCTCTCTAACAAGACTATAAACTTTTGTAGGACAGAACCATGTCTTATTCATCTTTAACTGCCTTTCCTCCCCTTATCAGAGTTTGGCACATAGTAGCTGCTTAATAAATACTTGTTGAAAACCAAACAGAAAGAAAACAAGACAGTATGACCTATTAAAGGAATGGTAAGCAGCTCTATTCATTAATTCAACAAATCCTTGATATCCTACCATGTGCTAGACATTGCCAGGAGCTGGGGAGAATGGTGAGCAAGAGATACCAGCCCTGTTCCTAGGGATCATACAGTCGCACTTCACATAGCTGGAGTGTAGAGTGTGAATCGAGGGGTGGGGAGATGGGGGATGTACCTGGAAGGTCACCTGGGGCCAGGTCCTGAAGAGCCTTGTGTGCTAGGCTAAAAAACCAAATTAAATCAGGACTGGGAGGTGGGCAGGAAGGCTGCAAGGGCAGAACAAGTCAATAGGGCAGGCCAAGTTCTCTACCCTGCTAGCGCTCTTCCCTAGGCCTAAGCAGGGTCTCTCTTTTCTCTTCAGTGACTGGGGGCCACACTCACCTATGGGCACGATGATCCCGATAACAGCGGCAGTGACTGTTGAGCCCATCTTACTGTCTTCATTTGCATCTGCAAAACACAAACATTTGCAGAATGATGCTCTATCACTGTGTGTCCAAGCCCCTACTGGCCTCAAGTGGTAAGAACTACCCAACTGCTGCTCATCCTCATTCTAAAATGATGATCCTGGCTGTTGCCTAATAATTCAGTCTTTCCAGATCCTATCACAACTCCTGTGAGGCAAGCAGGACAGAGGTTATCTCCATTTTACAGGCAAGGAAACTGAGTCTTAACTGAGGGGTTTCAGAAAAGTGGCAGAGCTGGGACTTGAACCCAGGACTCATGTCCCAAGTCCCATACCCTTTCCATAGCATCATGGTAGTAGGAAGCTGGGGGCTGTGCATGGCAAAGTGAGCACTTAGGTCTTTATGTTGCTGATGGACTAGGTCATTTGCCTTTTTCCATCAGTATCTGTTGCTTTGCCAGTATTGTTTTTTGTGAACTGTCTGTCCATCTGCATTATCAGATTATTTTTCATAAGTAATTGAAATGGGACATAGTATAGTGTAGAGGAATCAAAAGCGCAGACTTCTGTGTCAGACTTCTGGGTTCAAGTCCCAGCTCTACTACTCACTACCCATGTGACCTTGGGCAAATTATTATATATTATAAATACAGCACATGGTATTATACTTTTATATCTTTAAAATGGTGATATTACCTACCTCCTAGGGATATGGTAAGGATTAAATGAAATAATTTATCTAAAATGAATATAAAATGCTTGGCACAACTTTGCCTAGTTCTAAGAGGGTGGAGAGTGGGATGGGGTTGTTGAATAGGGTCTAAATTTTAAAAAGATATGTAAAAGCACATTTTAAACTGAAAAGTGCTTGGAAAATTTACTGTCTTTTTGAAAAACTATGCCATGCCATCTTTCTCACTCTTATAACCATCTTCATTGTAACATTTGTGAAGCACTTTATAGTTCAGAAAGCATTTTTCCCTTAGATCCTCCTGACAGCTCCCTGTGGTGTGAAAAGGAGCTATCATCTACACTTGCTGCAGGTGAGATGACTGTCCCGGCAATGGCCCAAGGCCCATCCTCTCTCAATGTGACTGTTTATCCATGTTACTCCAAGAGAATCTAACAGTTAAGGGGAGAAAAAGCTGCACTGCTTGCTTCCAGAGCTAACTGTGTCCTCCCTGCTGTCCTCCCTGCTCTGGGCCACAGCGAACACTGGACAGTGATATTAAAACCTAGAGCATGAGGAAGCCAGTGAGGAGAAGCTGGTGAGAGGCTCTGCCCTCAGATGAGAGGAACTGGAATTCACACATGCTCCATCTGCCTCTGCAAACTTCGGAGTAAGTGCTCCACTCCAAAAAGCCAGCTTCTGCTGGCAAATAGGACCAGTTAGGAAGATGTTGCCAAGCAGCTTGGTTTCTGGGCTGTCCATGTAGGGGAAAAAATTAAAAAGATAGTTTATCCTTTTAAATGAACTCCCTCTGGCAGGTAACTCAATTAAAAAGGTATTTGCTGATTAATGAGATAGAACATTTCTAGCAGTGACAATTACTGCTCCCAATGATTTAATAAGTGGTGAACTTAATTATTTTCATCCCAGGGTTGGAAAGAGGTATAAGGAGACCATGGTTGTAGATATTACTATCTGGGGACCTGCTGTGAACTGAGATCAGAGCTTTCCAAACACAAGGGACACCTCCTCATATACACATCAGAACTTTGTGAAACATAGACACACACACCCTCGCAGAGTCAGCAACGGCTGTGTGCGTGAGCACCTCCAGTTATACCGGTTACACCTTTGTCTATCATGGCAATCTTGTGAAGCAGGTTGTGGAAGGGTGGTTATTTCCACTTTGTAAGAGAAGCAACTGAGGCTCACAGGGTCTCAGCTTCCTACAAGACCCTCTGTAAGGTAGGGGCACCTATGAGTCCTAAATCGCAGGCTGGTACTCTACCTCCCTCTCAGATATGCAGTAACCTCCTCAAAGATATGCAGTATTCAGCTCTGGTAGGTTCTGTCTTATCACATACCCCCTTCCTGGCTTCCCTAGGAGCCCTCCCATGTCATGAAAGAATGCAGAACTCATTTCCTTACAGTGCTGGGAGTGGTTGCTGGTTGCAGGGCTTAGGGTAGACGGGCTGATGCTGGGAGCCCTGGGGACACTAACTGAGCTTGGGACTGCAGCTGTCAGGCTTGGTGTCTCTGTGCTGTGGTTCTGGTAGGTGGATCTGTGGACGGTGGTCCCGGGGGCTCTTGTGGTGGCAGGTACTGTCCTCGTCATGGTAGAAGCTAACGTCGTAGTTGAGGTAGATTGAGGTGCTGGAGGGGAAATACCATGGAGGTCACTTGGACAGATAATTTTGTTGCCTAAGGTATTGCCTCTGAGATATACTTAGGAACTTATCTTCATGGCGTAGCTCAAATGCCACTTCTGTGAAGCCTTTCCTAATCTCCCCAGTGGGCTATGATCTTTTCTTTAGCTGAATGCTAAGCACTTCACTTTGATTCAATAAAGATGAGTCATTAAAACATTGCTGTGGAATTAGTTGTAAGATCAGCAATAAAAAGACTGTAGGGAGGGGAAATCAGATAAATCTAGAAGGATTTTACACTCATATATTGTTATACCAATAGATTGAAATTCTTATTCCACTTTAAACAATTGAACCTGTAAATCATTAATAATGCAGTAGACTTAGGCTCAAATGAAAGGCCTTGGCTATACATCAAGATTAGGACATGAATCTGTGTATGCGGTTGAAGTATTAACTATTAGTCCCAATTATATTGCAAAAGGGCTGCTGTGTAGTGTTTGTTAAGTTCTAGGTGAGAAACAGGCAAATATATAGTTATCTGCATGTACCTGAAGCCACGGCGATTAAGGGTTCTTAACTTGAGGTTTTTAAAGCGTTCCAGAAACTCCCTGAAACTGAATTTAAAATGTTTTATGTATATGTGCATTTTTTCCTTGGGAGTGAGAAAAAGCTTTGGAAGGATCCTGGGGGCATGAGCATTCAAGGAAGGTAAAAAAGAGAAACCCCCAAAAGGCAACAAGTAACCAGGGAAGATGGAAGAAAACCAGCAGCATACTGTGTCCCAGAAGCCAAGGGAAGATTTCAGCAGGGTAGGGTCTGACACTGCCAGGGGCCATCCCTCCTGGAAGGTCTGCTTACCTCGGTAGCACCTCTTCATGTCTGGACCCAGCCACATTGTGTCAGGACAGGCACATGTGTACTTGGGAGAGTGGCTGGAGATCTGAGGAGCAGGAAGGCACAGGTATTCACAGCCTCCATTAGGCTGGACACTCAGCTCACAGGCATCTGGAGCTAATGGCAGAGAGGGAGACAGCTGGGGCACAGACAGGACATGCCAGGTCTTCCTGCCTCCTGAGGATGAGGCTTCTCCCACCTGGCTTGCTCAAAAAGCTTGCCCTATACTTTTTTTTTCACATTTTTTTTCTTTTTCTTTCTTTTTTTATCCCCCAAAGCTTTTGGGATACACGTTTTTTGTTACATGGATGAATTATATAGTGGTGAATTCTGGTACTTTAGCGCACCTGTAACCCAAGTGTAGTGTACATTGTACCTAATGTGTAATTTTTTTTTTTTTAAATCTCTAGCCCCGCTATTACCTTCTCCATTTTTAGTCTCTAAAGTCCATTATATGCCCCTGTGTACTCATAGCTTAGCTATACTCTGTATGCCCCTGTGTACTCATAGCTTAGCTCCTGCTTATAAGTGAGAGCATATAGTTTTTGGTTTTCCACTACTATCATACTTTACTTAGAATAATGGCTTCCAGCTCCATCCAAGTTGCTGCAAAATACATTATTTTGTTCCTTTTTATGGCTGAGTAGTATTCCAAGGTGTATATATGCCACACTTTCTTTATTCACTCATTAGTTGATGGACACTTAGGTTGGTTCCACATCTCTGCAATTGTGAAGCCCTTCTACTTTTTCAATTTTTTTTATGTTTTATGTTTTGAGACAGGGTCTCACTCTGTTGCCTAGACTAAGTGCAGCAGTGCAATCATAGCTCACTGCAGCCTCAAACTCCTGGGCTTAAGAAATCCTCCCACCTCGGCCTCCCGAGTAGCTGGAACTATAGGCGCATGCCACCATACAAGGGTCATTTTTATAGTTTTTGTAGTGATAGAGTCTTGCCTTCTTGCCCAGGCTGGTCCCAAACTCCTGGGCTCAAGTGATCCTCCTGCGTTGGCCTCCCAAAGTGCTGGAATTGCAGGTATAAGCCACCATGCCTGGCCTCCCTACTACTTTTATTGGGTACTTTCCAGCACCATACCTAGTGTTTTATCCCTACACTCTCATTTAATCCTTGCAACAATTCTGAGAGGTGGGGACGTTACATCCCAGACTGACAAATAAAGACACCTAGGCTCAAAGAGAACAAATTCGTCAAACCTATACTCTAGGAATTTTTTTTTTTTTTAAGAGGTAGGGGTCTTGCTCTGTCGCCCAGGCTGGAGTGCAGTAATGCAATCATAGCCCACTGCTGCCTGGAGCTCCTGTGCTCAAGGGATCCTCCTGCCTCAGCCTCTCAGTGTTGGGATTACAGGCATGAGCCACCATGTCTGGACTAGAGATAGAACTTAAATTGAGGTCGGCTGGGCTCCAAAGCCCATAAGCCCGCGGTTTTTATTTTTCCCTGTGCCACATACTATGTCTCTCATTTAAATTTCTAGGTCTAGAATCAGGCACCAATCTTAGCTCCTTACACTCCCTTGCTCTCCCTCTTTCACCCTGGCAGCCAACACTTCAGTTACAGTTAGAATTAATGTATCCTAGTGATAGAGGAGGGGACAACCTAGTAGTAGGATTCCTAGATTCTATTCCCAACCAATAAGCTGACTTATTATATGGCCCTCGGATACATTAGCTTATACTACTGCAGAATGGCTACAAATAGCAAGTTAGATGCAGTGTGTCATGGTGAAAGCAGCTGTGGAACCAGATAGACCTGGGTTTAGGTTTCAGTTCTGCCACCTGCTAACATTATTTTACCTCTCTGAGCTTCCGTTTCCTCAACTGTTAGAAGAGTAATACCCACACTTTGTAGGATTGGCAAAAACAGGACAGTTATGTATTCATTTATACCCAGCCTTATTTCACAAAGAACTTGAGGTAAAATGAGACAAAATATATGATGAAAAAGTACTCTACCAACAAGAGGGATTGTTGTTATTATTCCTGGGGTTGCTGAGTTGTGACCTGAATGTGAACACAGCCTGCCTGGTGAAAGGAGAGGACACAGTGACACAGTCAGGGGACCTGGGACCTAGGACCAGAGACAGCTCACCTCTTGGCTGCTTCAGCTCATGGAAGATGACAATGTCATGTGGGTTGTTGAGGTTCTCAGCCAGGATGGAGATTTCCAGGCCATTGAGCCGATTTGCACTGAAAATGGCCTCGTTCTCCAGGTCTGTCCAGAACACCTTGTCCTGTGGGGTATAGATGCAGAGGATGGGAGGCCTGGAGTGTAAATCCATGACCTCAGTCTGAGGGGTTGGCCCCAAACCATAGTCACAAGAACTTCCCTGAAATCTCCCCTGATCTGTCCTGTCTATGGATTCACGGTGGGGCTCTCAGCCTCTAATCTGTGATGCACGTCTCCTTGTTCCCTTCTATCTTAGAGGATTATTCAGTGATTCTGTGCTTTGAACTGACAGCCACAACATTACTCATTCATGCTGAACTAAGCCTGCTTGCTAGAGCCCAGCAGAAACCCAAGGTTAAATCTCTATAGCATTATCATTACTGGGGCCTGGGACCAAGATTGGAAGGAATGTGTGAGCTATGAGGGTTATGCCTTGCTGGGCTTCCTGTAGCCTCTGGGTATCCACACGAGTCCACATGGTTAGTCCATATAAGCCTAGATGTGCATCTGTCAGCAAATCCACACGTACAGGTACAACTGTGCATCCTCATACACAGATCTAAACACATACCCAAATGTTCATCCACACACAAAAAGCTACATTTGCCCCTAAATATGCAGTCTATATACATCTTGGTATATGTATGTACACACATAAGCACCAGCACTTAGAGGAATGCACACTTTTATTCTGATGCATTTATATTTACCCATGCACATACACATACTTTACATGTACATGCCATGTATATAAACAAGCACAAACACTTGTGTACCAACACACCTGTCCTTTAAAGCAGGGGCTGGACTTAGAGGTGGAGCTTTGCCCACAACTTCAGAGCAGTGCTGAGTAACTTTGCTGCAAGCAAATCCTGCCAATGCCCACCACAGACCATCATCCCTTTGCTTTCCCTCCCCTTGGTGGTGGAGTTAGTTTTCGGGAAGAGGTGAAGGTGTGAGACCTTGGTTGGTTCTGGCTTCTTCATTCCCGGAGAAGAAAAGTCATTAGGGTCAGGGCACAGGAGGGTCTTCGCTCCTCACTTTGCTGGGAGCTTCTTGAGACTAGGATAGTGTCTGATTCACTTCTATGACCCCAGGGTCTGGCAGAGGTCAATAAAAGTGTGCAGAATTGAACAGCATCTCTCAGGCCATTTCCTCCAGTAAATGATTCTAAGGATATGTATGTTCCTTCTTCCTTTCCTCCCTTTACTGGGTGCCTTTTGTATATGGGTTACAGTGCTGGGTGCTGAGGGCACAGAGAGGAAACATACATGCCTAGCAGCTCACCTGTGAGAAGTGCTCTGGGAGAGGGGTCTTGGGAAGAGAGCGTGGGAAAGGCTGCCAGGTGGAGAGTGGGCTGCAGAGCCTTTGTGTGCAGGCAGCTCACAGATTGTTTACAAACAAATCAGTTGGTTTCCCTGTTCCTGTTTTCATTTGAACAAGTCTCAGGGACTCATCCTATTTGAACAAGCATTTTCTAGGCTTCAGCTTCCTAGTGGGCCCTTGCCTCTCCTTACAGGACTCACCTCAAACACAGCTATCCCAAAAGGGTGGCTCAGGAAGTCAGTGGAGGAGATCAGCGTCTTTCTGTTGCCTCCACTGAAGTCAATGCTGGACAGTTGGTGTAGCTTGGAGTCTACCCAGTACAAGCGCTGGCTCAGCAGATCTTGGGAAGGAAGCAGGATCAGGTCATGAACCTGGGACCCCAGTCTGGAGCTCTGTTCCTTTGTACCTCTCCCTGCCCACATTTCTAGGCCTCACACTGAGGCCAGCCTACGGCAACCATTAGGAAACAAAGTCACTGGCACCATGAGAGGACCCAGAAACAAGACTCATGGAGTTCCAGACAGTGATCAGGACAAGGCACTAGAATAGGCCCCCAACCCAGGAAAGGCAGGGCTCACCCAGGGTGATTCCGTTGGGCCATTCAATATTGTCTGACACCAGTGTTTGCCGGTCCACACCGTTGAGCCCAGATTTCTCAATCTTGGCCTGGTCCCCCCAGTCAGACCAATACATGAACCTAAAAGACAAAATAACCCAATTTGCCTTCTTGCTGGGGACATGACCGGGGTGGTCTGAGTCACAAGAGCTCAATAACCCATTGACTAGTTGTGGTTTATGTTTAGTAGGGACTGAGAAGACCTCTAAAGTTCTTTTGAACCATCAAATCTTAGATTTAGCAGGCACTTTAGCCTTCACCTCATTTGAGAACTTGAGGAAAACTATTCTCCGAGATTGCACCCAGACTCAGCTGAATAGCCTGTGACCCCATCTCTCCCACTTCTGGCAGTGCTAACTAACTAGAGCCCTAGGGTGTCAGTGTGGGGAAGGCCCTAGTAAGCCCTCTCTTTTCTGGTTTCAGAGGAGAAAGTGGATGAGCTTCCTAACTCAGGTAACCCTCCCTGCTTTTGTCTCCTCAGGCCTACTAGGGCCAGTAGCAGCCCACTGTTACTAATCCAAGGTAGTAAATTAGACCTAACCCACTCCTTTGTAAATAGTCCCTTTATTAAACCCTCCTCTGATTATCTTGAGTATGCAGTGGGTTTCCTCCTGGGACCCTGACGATCCGCAGTGGATTGGGGTTGGGCTGGGTGTAACTCTATGATGTGAGGGACAGGATGTGGCAGGTGCAACACAAGGTCTGCATGAGAACAGACAGAGAACAGGGATGAAGTGAGGGTAAGAGGAGAGGCTCCGTATCTGTCAGAGTGCCTAGTTCTGTGCTGGAAGCACCTGACCCATGCTTAGTGAATGGCAGCTATCAGTCACTTCCCAAGGCCTCACATAACCTCCCATGTGGTACTCCCCTCACCAGCTGCCCTTGCTCGAAGAAGAGGGTTTTCTTATCCCTGTTTAACAAGGAAATAGCAGTAGGAAGCAGCTGTTGATTCTGTTAAACTTAACATGATATAACGCTAAAAAAACCATCTCAAGATATCCACACTGAGGGAGAGAGGGAGTCCTGTTCTGTTCAGAATCCCTAACTCCCAAAACTGAGGGGTGGCCAGAGCAGGGCAACCTAGGTGGTGAGGGCCCAGAGACCATAGGCAACAGGGGTAGGGATGGAGGCAGGCAGTCTGAAGCAGAACAGACCAGTGATCTTGGTCCTCAAATCTTGCTGGCTCTCTCACAGGGCAGGGAATAGACATGTTTTATGTAACTCCAGAGGCCAATGGAGGAAGTTGCAGGGAGATAGATTTGGCATTATGAGGGGAAAAGACCCACTTTCTAATGAGCAGAGCTGCCCCACGGTGAAACAGGCCCTATGGGAGGTAATGAGCTACCTGTCTTTGGAAGTATGTGAGCAGCTGTCAGATGCTCACCTACAGCAGCCTGAAGAAAGGCTTCCTCCCCCAGGAGCTTCTATCAGGCCATCTCTAGAGCCCTACTCTGCTCTGAGACACTCCAATTCTACGATATAACGAGTGGGTGGGAGAGTCCAGGGAGAACTTTGGTGACCAATGCCCAGAGAACCTTGGTTGGGGATTAACAAGACTTTCTTCCCCATGGCCTGTGTCTGAGTGGCCCAGAGCTTTCTAGAACCCTCAAGATAGCCCTTGTGACAGACACAAGAGGACTGAGCACCTATGGTGGGAGAATGGGAAGTTCAGTTGGGACACTCACCCTCGCAGGGGGTCAACAGCGATGGCCCGGGGTTCACTGAGGTTACGGCTGAAGAGAGTGCGTCGGCGGCCACCATCAACTGTGGCCACTGAGATGGTCTTATTGCCCGAGTCAGTCCAGTAGATGTGCTTGTGGACCCAGTCCACTGCCAGGCCCTCTGGAGAGTGCAACTGCTCGTCAATGAGGACCTCCTGCTCTTTCGGGTCACTGGCCTTGTCCATGTAGGCGCTTAAGAGAAAACAGAGATGACCATGGGGCAGATGTTCCACCCATGGGCCCATCTGGAGCTACCTGTGCACCCTTCCCCTCTCTTCCATCTGGGCCATGGCAATAGATTTTTAGAGGAACGTGGATAATTTCCACTCTACACATTCCCTGGGGTACCAGGGTAGGGGTACAGACTTACATGGGCCACGGTCTCTGGCTTTCTAAGGTGGGGCTGCTCCACAGCTCTGCCCATTAGGGTGAGCCAGATATAATACAATGTGATTATGGAAAGCATTAGAGGCTATGGCAGCAGAGGCATGGAGACTGCCTCATCCGAGAGGGCGGGAGAAGGCTTTATAGTTGAGTCCTGAAGGACGAGTTCACCAGGAGCATGAAGTCACCAGGACAGAAAGCCATTAGGGAACAAGAAAGGCTTGTGCAAATGGCCAGAGGTGAGTCTGCTCTGGAACAGTGAGATACTTAGGGGAGCTGCTTATGTGGGTGTCAGACTGCAAGCAGGTGTAGGCAGGAACCCCATCTTGATGGGCTTTGAGTACCACGCCAAGGAATTAGGATTTCTCCCCAGTGATAACTAGACAGGCCAGAGGATATAGTCCAATAAGCATGTTAGTTCACTGTGGCATCTATGGAGTGGATGGGTTGGAAGGAGAGGGAATGAAGCAGGGAAACTGGTTAGGAGGACGTTACAGCATCTGGGTGGGAGATTAAGAGAGTCTGAAGAATGACCGTGCCAGTGAGAATGGAAAGAAGGGCTAAGAATACAGTAGACACTCAGGAGGCAACATTAGCAAAATAGCAAATGCTGTTTCCCCAGAGGTTTTCTTCTTCTTGCCCTCTCTCTGGGTGATTAGTTCCTTAGTGTCCACTGCCATCAATAACTAAGTCTCCAATCCCAACAGCTCTCTTACGATCCAGACTGCAAAGCTAACTAGCTCCCCTTGGATGTCCCATGGACACCTTGAACTCAATATGTCCAAAACTGTTCATCCCCATTCCCTTCCCCTCGGCCAACCAGACGGCCCAAACCCTGAGCCCTGATCCTCCTCTACTGCTTCACACATCAGAGAACAGCACCACCATTCATGAAACCTCCCAAGCCAAAAACCTGAAACTCCCAAAATTCACTATGAAGGAGTAAATTTCTTCCATCAGCCCCATATCTAGTCTGTCACCAAATCCTGCCTCTTTCAGTTACATCTCTTGGACAGGCATTGTTCTAGTTATGTTTTTGGGTGTGTGTGAACGGAGTGTCTGTATGTTGCAGGGAGGCAGGAATCTAGTTGTCAGTGAGTAGCACTTGCTATATTTGCTTCCATCCACTCTTCCACCCATCTGTCCCATCATTCTTTCATCAGTGACTCAGTGTCTACCCAGCGCCTGGTCATCGGCATTCCTGCCAAGTGGATCTCAGGACAAAGAAAGGACATGACTGCCTGAAGAGGGCCCAGACATGCAGTGGGGCAGGTGCTGGCATCTGAGAAAGTCCTAGGAGAGAACCTCCTCCAGTGTGTGAAGAGCTTCCCAAGCACCAGGTCCACTGACTGTGGCGTCAAAGACAGTGAAAAGCTGGCCTTGGGGTGATGCCATCCAGGAAGGCATGCCAGATCAGATGCCCAGGTGGGTTCGGAGGCCTCCTCTGTACTTTCTCATGATCATCACAAATGGATGTCACTGTGTTGTGAGTGGGATCCTCTGGGCAGGGACCAGGTCTAAGTCCCCAGGTTCCAACACACAGGGATGTGAGCTGCTTGGAAAGTCCTCCCCAAAGCCAGGATTTCTTCCTTTCTGCCCTGGCCAAACAGTTCCTGTGTCTTGTGCTTCCATATTAGGCCTCCAGAGGTCAGACAAATCCCAGGTGTTTGGGGCTCAAAGCTGCTAACCCAAGGGAGCCCTCAGACTACTCCAGCCCCAGTAAAGTCCCAGAAGTTCCATATCCACTGTGATCCTGCATCTCTTCCCAAGTCCCAACTCTGTCCTGAGGAGCTCTAGAGGCAGACACCACTCCTCCCCTCCTCACCTGTCACCACCCCTCACCCCCACTCTTCATGCCTTGCTGCAGAGGATATGGCCGCTCACCTATAGATCTTACGGTAGGAGAGGTCACACCAGTAGATGCGATTGGTGGCAACTTCCACATCTAGTGCCACGACATTCTTGAGCATGGGGATGAGGCGTGAATAGTTCCGCTTCACCAGGTCGATCCTCCGCACCTCGTGCCGGTTGGTGAAGATTAGGGATGGGCTCTTGCCAGCTGTCATGCAGGGAGGTTGAAAGAGAAAGAGTCAGTGCAAGAGGCAGGGAGCCTGGAGACCAAGACTCTGCCACTGGCTTGCTGGCTGACACATCCATTTTCCTTAAAATAGTAGTGACAATTCCTACTTTACAGGTTGCAGGAGCAGATGAAATAATGAGTACAGAAAGCAGAAGATGCAGAGCACCACGCATAGCAGGAAGATTCTTATTCTTTTTATTAGATACAAACTTCTCCAAAATCTTTTATGGCTCCCCATTTTCTCCTTAGGCCTGCACTGAAAGCCTTCCACAGTGTGACCCCAAGTTCCCTGTCCAGCCTCATTACTCGCCTCTCCAACATAGCTTGATTCCACCTACCAGATACCATTACCTAGCCATGGATGGGCTTCCTGCCTCAGAGCCTTTGCTCAGGTTGTCCCTTCCACCTACTATGTATTTCTTTCCAGCAACTATCATCTTCTCTGCTTGGGCCCTACTGCTGTGGTTCAAGAAGGAACTACCTGAGCAAGTAAGTGTCTTAGAAAGATAACTAGGGGCCAGGCACAGTGGCTCACACCTGTAATCCCAGCACTTTAGGAGGCTGAGGCTGGCACATCGCTTGAGGCCAGGAGTTTGAGACTAGCCTGGGTAATATGGCAAAATCCCATCTCTAAAAATAAAAATAAAAAAAAAATTAGCTGGGCATGGTGGCACATGCCTGTAGTCCCAGCTACTCAGGAGGCTGAAGTGGGAGAATCATTTGAGCCCGGGAGGTTAAGGCTGCAGTGAGCCATGATTGTGCCACTGCACTCCAGCCTGAGTGACAGAGACTCTGTCTCAAAGGAAAAAAAAAAAGATGATTCAGGATAGAAAGTATTGGGGACATAGCAAGAGATGAGCTTCAGAGATTGGCAGGGGCCAGATCACAAAAGGTCCTATGAGCTGGGTGAGTTTGTTCTCTATCCTGAGCCAATGGCAGAGATGGGACATATATGATATACAACACAGATTATATATATGCAGTAGAGACAACATAAACTGCTCATGTATACACAAAACCTGTATTTTTCTTAGATTTAGGGTTAGATTTTAAGATGATAAATAAGTGACCTAGACTTTCCTGGCTACTCCATATGGGAGGACACTGTCCCATGGGCCTCTGAGGGCCTAGCACCAGCTCCCACAGGCTGTTTCTAGATGTATTGGGCCACTCTCAGGCACCAACACTGTCTGAGGGGCTGCTCCTAGTAACACCTGCCCCTCAAGCTCCCTGTGCCTCCTTCTCTTGTTTTCCAGCTGACACTTCTGCCAGCCACCAGTCCCTGTCACTGTGCATCTTTGCCAAGCTAATGTGCTCCCTGGAGGATGGGACCAGCACAGAGTCAGGTAGGGCCTGGGGCTGGGTGTGTGACCTGTGTGTAGTGATGGAGACTAATTCAAAGCAGGGTGGGAGTGAGACAGAAGTGTGGTACAAATAGCATGGAGAATGGGCTCAAGGTGCAGGAAGGGGCAAGGATGAAAGCTGAGTTACAGGCCAGCTCTGCCACTGACAAGCTGTGATTTCCCTCACCCCAAAATGACAGTAATGACACTTCACCTCCCTGAAGGCAGGAGCCAGGTTAAAGGGGCATGTTGGAGTGATCTTAAATGACAGCTGTGACTGTGACAGGAACCCCCTGTGTTTATGATTTGAGATTTTATGTAACTGCACTTGAAATATTCATGTGTGTGGATTTTGTATATGCATGGGTAGTTGCATGTTGTCTCCAGTGCATGTACATAATCTGTGTCATGTATTACATGTGTTCTATATGGGGGCAAGAACAGGTTACACGTTATATGTGATATACTAATGTATGAGTTACATATTGTACAGTTTGGGTGTTACAGTTTTTGGGTTTATGGGCTACATGTCAGTATTATGGCTGCTGTATTGTTATAATTTATCTGTTGTATATTGTATTTAACTTGCATATGAACTCCAGACTCATATATCCAGCTGCCTTCTCAATATCTCTACTTGGATACCTAACCAGTTTTCTTAAACATAACATGTCCAAAACAGCCTAAGATTCCTCCAAACCTGCTTCCCTCACCATCTTTCCCAAGCCCATACGTAGCAATCTTATTTTTTCAGTTGCTGTAACTTTTTTTTCCACATTCCACATTCAATTCATAAGCAAATCCTGTTGGCTGGCCTTTGCACTATATCTGCAGTCTGTCCACTTTTCATTATTCCCACAGTAATAATGTGGGAATAAGGGTTCAGCCACCATCACCTCGCTTCTGGATTATTGCAATGACCTCTTAAGTGGTTTCCCTGCCTTCTCCCTTGTCCTCTACAGTCTGTTCTCAATACTGCAGTCAGAATAAAATGTCACACCATGTCCCTTCCCTACTCAGAGCCCTCAATGGTTTCCCCCCAGTTAGAGTGAAATCCAGAGCTGGCTCTTACAATGGTCTAGAAGGCCCTTTGGGCTGCCCCAAGCCACCTCTCTGGCTTCATCTCTTCCTAGTTTCCTTGCTCCAACTGTACCAGCTTCCTTGCTATTCCTTGAACATACTAGGCATGCTCCTGCATTAGGGCTTTTGCGGTTTCTGTCTCTTCAGCCTGAAATGCTTGTTCCTATAGATAATTGCATGGTAGCTTACTGTCTCACCTCCCTCACTCCCTTTTTATTTATTATTATTATTATTTTTTTTTTTAGAAAAGGTCTCACTCTGTCACCCAGGCTGGAGTGCAGTGGCATCATAACTCACTGTGACCTCAAACTCCCAGGCTCAAGGGATCTTCCTGCCTCAGTCTCCTGAGTAGCTTGGGACTATAGGTGCATGGTACTATACCTGGCTAGTTTTTAAATTTTTTTTTAGATATAGGGTCTTACTACATTGCCCAGACTAGTCTTGAACTCCTGGCCTCAAGTGATCTTCCTGCCTAGGCCTCCCAAAGTGTTGGGATTACAAGCGTGAGCCACCACACCCACCCCCCTTCACCTTCTTTACTCAAATACCTTCTCAGTGAGGGCTTCCCTGACCATTCCATTTAAAACTAGAACCCCCTGCTCACCTGGACTTCCCTATTCCCATTCTCTACTTTCTATTTTTCCTTAGCCCTTATCGCCATCTGCCATGCACTATATTTTATGTATTTATCTGATTTCTAGCCTGGCTCACCCATTAGAATATGAGTCCCTTGAGGGCAGACAGGGATTTGCATCTGTTTTGCTTACTGCTGAATCCCCAGTGTCTACTACAATGTTAGGTGTTCAATATAAACAACTGAATACAATGAATTAATTCTGCTGGCTGAATTGATCAATGTGTAGGTCTGCCCAGGTCGTGCTCTTTGTGTGGACTCCATATGCTGTGTGTGTAGTCTCTGTGTGGTTCATATTCTGTTGTATGAGTGTCATCTCTGTGGGCTATATTGGGTGGCTCTATACAGTGTCTGTGTGGGTGTTAGTGTGCAGTGCGTTGTGTGTGTGATGTGTATGTACACTTTTGAGCACTGTGTGTGCAACTGCTAGAGTAGGCAGACAGCTGGACATGAGCAGAAGGGGGAGTCCCTGAGAAAAGGGAAGTCTAGAAAATCTCACACCTAGAGACCACCCAAAACATTCATGCTAGATATGAGCAGAGAGGAGGGGAAATGCCTCTGCAGAAAGGAATGCCCCTTAAGATGCCCAGAAACTGCTCACTCTGCAGTTCTCCCATCAGAATGTAGCTAGCTGCATGTTGAGGAGGAGGGGAAGGGCAAAGGGGAAATCCCTAAGAAATATGCAGGCCCAATCAGATTTGACTGCTATACAACCTTCCTAGGGTGGTGGTAACGAGTGATGGCACCATTAGGTAGTATTTGTGCCCAGAGCTGGGCATGCACACAAGCTAATAGTAAGGGGAGGTCCCACAAGCCTGGGTGGGAACTAGGTGAGGAACAGGCAGGGACTTAAAGCAGGAATGGGAAAACTAGACAAAGAAAATGGCAGAGATTTAGGACAGAGACAGGAACTTCAAGAAAAAAACCCAATGCAGAACTCTTAGGGCTGCCGCTGGTTCATTCTCTTTTAGCAGGCTGCCCCCACTCTGCGTCACCTTTCAGAGTGCACTGTCCCTTTAAAGAAACACAGCTATTGCTGCTGCTCCCAGCTGGGTCAGCCTGCTCCTGTCTTAGATTGTACTCTTATCTCCTTAATAAACCTTCGGCTTATGTTACTAATTGTCTCTTGGCTGAATTCTTTCTCCCAAGCTAGACAAGGGACCGAGGATTCCCGTACCTCTCAGTAACACAACCTGCCTTCTTGTGTGTGCGCACATGTACACGCCCACTCCTCACAAGTGGAAGCACGCTGCTTCCTGTATGCCTTTCAGAGCTGCCCCTCTGCCCTTGGGGTGTTCATACCAGCAGCCTTGCAGTTCTTGGTCAGTAGGTCCATCTCGTAGCCAGGGTAGCACTCACACTTAAAATAGCCCTTGTAATTGACACAGATCTGGCTGCAGGCATCTGGGTCCTTGCACTCATCAATGTCTGTGGGGAGGAGCAGGAGTCAGAACCAGCAGGAGGATCTGCTTCTGCTTGGGGGTGTGGGAGAAGGTCTCACCGCCACAGGTCTTCTGGTCCAGGAGCTGGAAGCCTGCTGGGCACGTGCATTCAAAGCCAATCTTGAGGTCAGTGCAGATGTGTGAGCAGCCGCCATTGTTGTGCAGACACTCGTTCAGCCCTGGGGAGGGACATGGGCTCCTGAAGGTCCAGGAGCCCAGGAGGAGTGGGGGCAGGGCAGGGGTAGGACCTAGAGCAGAAGCAGAGCCTCAGGGCAGTGGGACTCCCATAGAGGCAGGAGGGCTCCACAACCTCACTGAGCCTCAGCCTCATCTACCAGGTGTTCTGGGCAGCAGGCGGCACAGAGAGGGCAGGTTCCTACTCCAGGCCAGACACAGAGACAGGGTAGAGTGGAACCAGAACTTAGGTCCCCGGCCTCCCGGCTGGGGCTCTGTCCACCACCAAGCTGGAGGCAGCTAGGCCTTCCCCAGTGGCCCAAGGTCTTTCCTTTCACAAACATGTTTCTCACAGCGCCTCCTTCCTCGTGACCTCAGAGTTGAAGGGTCCTGTGTGTGTCACATCCAACCCTCAGGATACCCTAAGAATCCCTTCCAAAATGCCCCTGCTTAAATATCTCCAGCCTCAGGGAGCCCACTTCCCTCCTGGGGCAGCTGGCTCCACTGTGGACCAGCACTGCCTGCTGAGGCTTCTGCTTGTGCTCCCAGCTCTGCTGTGTGGGGTTGGCCAGGGTGCACAGGCTCCCTTAAAGCACTGATATCTGGTCTCCTGCCATTTGGGTGCCTTTCTCTGGACTCACTCCATCTGTCCATGTCCCTGTCTGGACAGGGCCCAGAGCTAGTTTGCCACCCAGAAGGAACCTGAACAACACAGGATGCCCCCCCTAATGTGCTTGTGGTTATTTAAGACTCCTGGGCCTTTTTTAACATGGAGCCATTGCTAAATCAATTCTCTCCTATCATGAACTAATATGATGGGTTTTTTAACTCCTCTCCTCTCAGCACCTGTCCCTGTTCCTCCTATCTTGTCATGGGCCCGGTTCCAGGATTACCACCTGCTGCAAGAGGTGAAGGGATGCCCAGAGGTCATCTGGTTCTGGTTCCCCATCCTCCACTCCCTCACTACCTTCTGGCAGGGTCTTAGGGGAGGTCAGGGAATCCAGGACCAATGCTCTTACAGCCTCTCCTGAGCTTTAGAGTCACAGAAGGTTAATTCCACAAGCCAAGGAGAGGTGCCGCGCCCCTCTCCCCCTCTGCCCCCCAGGCTCATGCACTGCCACTCCAGCCAAGCCAAGCAGTGCTGAGCTGAGCCAGCCATGGCCATGCATATAGCTGGTCTGAGCTGCCCACCCCAGGCCATGCACAGCTATGGGGTGCCCCCACTTCCAGCCTGAGCCATGCTTAGGGAATAACCCCTTTACCCCTGGGCCTCCTCCTGTTTCCCAGGAATGTTGGCGGAACTGAAAGAACAAGACCACAGCAACTCCATGACTGGGGGACCCAGGGATGACTCAGCCAGGCCCAGCCCTGGGAAGCCTCAGACCCTTGGAGGTGGGCTGAGCCACGGCAGCTCCCACCTCTAGGAATCTTTCAGTCGCTCGGAGCCCTCCCTGACCTCTCCTTTCCTGTGTTATTCCCTGAGCACCGTTCATTCATCTGTCCTCCCACTCACCCACTGCCCCCATCATGCATCCACTCGCCTCCTTCCTCTCCTTTTGCAGCTAGCAACAACTCAACAATTCTATTTACTGAGCACTTGATGAAGTGGCATGTGTAGGTGGGATGGCCCTGAAAGGGGGAAGGGGAAAGGAGAGAACTCAAAGTGACTGGCTTCTGATGAAGGAAGGCACAGAGTCCTCCAGGGCTCAGGTGGGTGAGGGGAAGAGAAAGGAGAGCAGGTCTGCACCTGTCTGTCCCTGTAACCTTTCCCCAAATGCCTGCAGGGAAGTCTTCAGTCCTTCTTAATTCTACCTAGCCTGGGTGTGATTCCGCTGGGGAGCCAGGAGAGGAGGGGGATGGGGTAGAGTGGTGCAGAGAGGCCAGAGTAGTATTTGCGGCTTCCTTCCATGGAAGGAAGAAGTGGTGTCACTGCACACACCTACATGCACACACCAGCATGCCCACAACTACATGCACACATACCAGCTTATGTGCAGAGCACAAACAGTCCCATGGACTCCATAGATACATTCACACATACATGGGGTCACACACATAGATGCATGAATGCAGTTCCCCTGCTTTACTCAGAGAAGAAGACATGGATACAGACACCGGCCTCTCACCAACACAGAGACAGAGGCCACACACAGACACAAGCACGTGTGTACGTACTCCTCTTTGGTGTGTCATGCAAACGACGAGAGAGAAGAGAGGGATTAGTAGGACAGTAGTCCCTGGCTACTCCAAATCTGGGTGTTGGGGGAGCTAGGCTCAGTAGTTCTGGCTTCCCTGTCTCTTTTTCCACAAGTTCCTTCTTCTGGGACTTCTCTTGGCAGGGCCTGGAGGCAGAGGGAGTGTCTATCTCCTGCCAGCTCAGGTAGAAGCTGAGTCACTTTCACTCAACTACTCTTCCTTTCACAATCAGTTTTTTAATCTTCAAAAGGGGAAGGAAATATGCTCTTCCTGGGAAGCTCAGGAGGATGAACCTCCTCTAAGCACCCAGGAGGTAGGTGCTGGGGAAACAGTCTGCCAGAAGGCAGGAAAGGGAGGGACTGACCTAGCCTCTGTCCTCCCAGGGCTTCTCTGTCAAATCTCCCTCAAGCCCTAACCTGGGAACAGTAAAAACAAAAAACAAAAAAAAACTCATGAACCTTCCTGGAGTCCACACTGGGTTTCTAGCATGTTCTCTGGGATGCCCACCCTACCTACAGCCTGGAGCCTCTGTTCTTTCTAGCCTGGAACCCACCCTGACAGCTGTAGCCGACATCAGGGCAGCCACTTCCATCCAGGTCTCGCTTTAGTCTGGCCTCCAAGTCTGGTCTCCCCATCAGGTCCGAACTCCTCAGGGCTTAGGATGGTGCCACCTCCTGCTGCAAGGCCTGCCTTACTCCCACACAGGTATGGCCTGAGCAGTGGCCCTGGGATGTGCTTCACCTGGCTGCCTGCCTGCTGTGCCCACTTCTCCCTCTGCTGGGTCTTCTGCAAGGGGCTAGAAGACCTCAGAGCCCAGGGCCTTGGCTGGGTCAGCAGGGGAGGAACACCGAGGAAGAGAGAAAGTTCCAGAAGGTCTCAGAGGTCTGAACGGGGAAGGAATGAGGAAAGGCCAAGTTTGTGAGAGAAAACATAATTTTTTAGTACCTGGGATGGACAAGCTCTTAGCACTTTGTAGAGATGTAGACCAGAGGCCTGGGGGCGAAAAGCCCCATGTGAAGCCATAGGACGGCACATGAATCCAAAGAGAGGGTCAGAGCAGAAAGTGTCAGGGCAGGGGGCACTGGAGGGCCTTGAGCCTAGATACCAGGAGGGGGATGGTAGGAGACTGAGTCCAGCCAGTGGGCGTAGACAGGCACCGCACCACACTTTCAGAAGCTCATCCGACCAGTCCCGGCAGTCCCTCTGCACATCACACACTTTCCCGCCGTCCACGCGCTTGCCACTCTTACACTGAAATCTGCGGGGACCCTCACAGGGTGACTCTGTTGGGCCGGACAAGAGAGTGGACAGTGCCTGTGAGACCTTGGACAAGAAGGGCTGGGCTGGGGCCCACAGGAGGCAAGCAGAGCTCCAGTTCCAGTCCCTCACAGGTCCCTGGAGGGTGGCCCAGGACAGACAGGTAAATCCAGGAACTGAGGAAGCTCTGCTCACAGGACAGGATCCCAGGGATGATTAGGAGGCTAAGCCTCATGTAGCTGGGCAGGGCTGTGGGGATCTGCGTCTCATCTTGCAGGACTCAGGTCCTAGGAGGACCAGGCAGCAGCTCTAGAGAGACCTTAGAGGCTGGACTGATCATCTCCTGGGGGGACTTTGCCCCATGGACCCCGGATAGGGGAAGTTGCTACACTGCCCAGCCTGTTATCCATTCCCCAAGATGACTAGTGAATGAGGGTCCCTGCTCCTGCAGAGGGCAGGTGGTGACCAGAAGAACCATCTGAGAACTAAAGGGGCTCCCTGGGGAGCAAGACTCAGCCTCTGCTCAGCCTGGGAACTAGTGAGGGAAGCCACTCACCAGCTGGGACCTGGACAAGTGGTGGGGGCTGGACTTCCCAAGTGCTCTGTCATGTCCCCCTAGGTGTCTTTCAGCTTTGGCAAAGTCCTTACAAATCCAGTTCTGGTGCTACTAGGACCCCATGGAAAGGGAGCCAGGTGATTTAGGGGCAAGTGATGCTCTGGGGGAAAATGCATCTTGGGGACCAAGGGGAAACTCCTCCCAACTCTGCCCTCTGGAGAGTTACCAGAGCCTAGGGCATCCTCACAGAGGATGTGTTCTGTGCCCTGACCACACGCACCCTGTAGGCAGCCAGCTTCATCACTCCCATCTGGACAGTCCTGCTCCTGGTTGCAGTGCTTGATTGCAAGGACACATGTCCCATCCCCACACTGGAACTCGTCCCCACGGCAGGTGCCCAGTGCTGCCAGGAGAGGGCAAGGGGAGAGGATCAGAGTCAGTGTGGTGCTAGGACAATTTCCCCACCACCCCAATCCCCATGCCATAGCCACCCCCAGCAAAAACAGAACCAGTGGCTGAACTCAGGAGTCCTCAAAGGACACCTGGCCAAGGCACCTCAGTGTACAGATGGGGAGACTGAAGCTCAGAGAGGGGGAAGGCCTTGCCCAGGGTCACACAGCACTCTGGCTGGCAGATTCAGGACTAAACCCAGATCTCCTGTTTCCCTGTCCCTGCCTCTCTCCAGGGCCACTCCTCAGAACAGACACACGGCCTTCTTTTGAGTCTTGGTGCTCATTACTTAATGACTTCATCCATTTGGCAAACCTTCCTGTGCCAGGTGCTGTGCTGGGAGAGGTGGAGGTGGGGGTGGGAGCCCAGAGACTCCTAAGAGCCTCCTCATCCTCTAGGAGCTCAGGGTGCAGAGCAAGGGTGAGGAATGCTCAGATGGGGACATCAGTGTGAGATGAGCTATAAGAGAAAGCTGCTGGGGACCTGCCCAGCAGAGGGACCCAGCCCAGCTGGGAAGGTCAGAGGAGTCTAGGCCAGGCCTTGAGGAATGAGCAGGCCTAGCGGGTAAAGAGATGGGGGGAGCTCCTGAGCCTGCCAGGTTTCTGGGTGGAGGGGTTCGGGGGATGGGGGTGGGAAGTACGACTGGGAGGGCTCACAGCAGGGACACAGATACCAGTGGAGGCTTCTGGAGTTAGACCTGAGCTCCGCAGCCCGGCAGCTGCGTGAATTCAAATAAGTCACCTCACTTCTCCCAGCCTCGGTCTCCTCTGTAGTAAACCCGGGTAATGTATTCAGGTAAGGCAATGAAAGGAAGCCTGCACCTGGCGGATCCGGATCGGATAGCGGATCCGCAATCCCTGGGCGGGGCTGGGCGGTATGGAGGGGGCTTACGGCAGTCGGCCTCGTCCGATTTGTCTTTGCAGTCGCGGTCGCCGTCGCAGCGCCAGCCCAGGTGCACGCACTCGCCGCTGCGGCAGGCGAACTGGGAGGCGGTGGCGCAGGCGGCGGGCGCGGACGTGGCCCCGGGGCCCGGACGGCCGCAGAGCTCGGCTGCCTCGTCCGAGCGGTCCTCGCAGTCAAACTGGCGGTCGCAGACCCAGCGCTCCGGGATGCAGGCGCCGCCGCCATCGCCGCCGCAGCGGAACTCGCGGGGCCCGCAGGCCGGGTCTGCACAGCCGCGCTCATCGCTGCCGTCACCACAGTCGTCGTCGCCGTCGCACACGAACACGGCGGCCAGGCACGAGCGGTTGCCGCACTGGAACTCGTGCGGGGCGCACACTGCGCGGGACAGAGAGCCGGTCGGCCCGCCGACCCCCTCCCCGGCCGACCTGGGGCCCCGCTGGTCCGGCTACAGGGGCTCCGACCCTCACCCGGGGGCCAGAACAAGTGCCCTTTGGGGGCTGAATGGTGGACGTGCAGTTAGGCATAGCGAAGGCGGGCTTCCAACACGGACATGCTAGGTGACTGGCAACACACCTGCCCTTTGTGAGCCCCCCAGGCCTCACTGGGTAAATGAGCATGAGCATGGTGGGACTAGGAGGGGGATTCCGAAACCTTAGAGCA
This sequence comes from Homo sapiens, assembly GCF_000001405.40. NCBI lineage: Eukaryota > Metazoa > Chordata > Mammalia > Primates > Hominidae > Homo > Homo sapiens. The sequence continues at coordinate 53,277,364 of NC_000001.11, forward strand.
CTGCCTGTCTTGAAGGACCCTGCTATGGTCCCAGGACATGATCTGTTAAATGACACTGACCCTTCCCAGGGACCAGGGTCTGGGGTTGGCTCCTCATAGCATAGCGATGCATAGCATAACCTGCACTGTTCCACCTGAGTCCCCTGGCCTGGTATCCAAGGCGTCTCTTGGGTCAGTCCTGTGGCTCCATCACCTCACTCCTGAATGTTCGCAGCTCCCGCCATGCTAGACCATTTGCTGGGCCCAGTGCACAGGCTCCCACCTCCAAGCCTTTACTCAAGTTGCTCCATCTGCTGGGAACCTACTTCTTGCCCACCACTACATTTTGCAATGATGAGCTCTCATCTTCCAAGGGCCCAAATTCCACCTCTTCCATGACACCCTGGCGTTTCCCCGCTTGGGAAATCTCTGCCTCTGCCCTCGTTTCTGAGCCCCTCAGTCGCGCAGGCGTCTGAGTTTCATGTCCTTTTCAATCTGCCCCAAGAATCCACACTGCCTGGGGGTGTCCCTCCTTTGTCCTGAGGGCCTGGTACAGAGCTCCCTGTAGTGAGTGGGTGTGGAGTGGATGGAACTGGTCTGGCCCAGGTATGAGGTATAATTATGGGATGTGCAGTAATTAAGGACACACGTCATGGCTCTGCTTGGGGCTCTGGGCTTCTCTCTGGTAGGCTAGTCTGAGTTCAGTGGCCGGGAGGAACTTAGAGGCCAGCCAGCCCTATTGCCAGTTTATAGATGGGGAAACTGAGGCCCAGAGAGAGGAGCAGCTTGCCCAGGGTCACACAGTCCATGACAACAAGAGAACCAGAACTCACATTTGGGGCTTTTCTTTCCTACTCTGACTCCTCCTCTTGGCTTTTCTGGTTTTCTCCTCCCTTCCTGGAGTTTTTCCAGCTGTTTTTCAGGGCAGTGACCTCCTCACTTCCCTCCCTCCTGTGCGTCCACACACAGGCCAAGACCTGGCCCCGGGATGGGGGTAGGCCCCGGTGGGGCACTGATGCAGTGGCTGTGGCCAAAGGTGAGGTGGTGGTGGCAGCACCAGATCTTTCCACGTGGGGGCGCCCAGAGTCTGTGTTTTCACTTTCTGATGGAAAAATGTGAATTTTCATTGTTATTGAAGATAAAATAGAGTGATGTCTTCAGTTTCACCAGGTAGGTAGCTCGTGTCATGCGTTTCTGACAGCTCTACCAAGTGTCTGACAGTTGAATTTTTTTCCCCTCCTGGGCTTTTGAGACACTGGGGCATTGGTGGAAAAAGCACATGCTGCCACTGCCACTGCCCCTCAATATTACGCTGACACCTAGATGAGCTCCCTTCCTGCCTGTCCCCACCCAACTTGTGCATGTGCAGGGAGGGTGGACTCACTGCTTTCTGGGAGTTCTGATGGGAAGTGCTTTTTTTTTTTTTTTTTTAATTTTCTTTTTTGAGATGGAGTCTCGCTCTGTCGCCCAGGCTGGAGAGCAGTGGTGTGCTCTCAGCTCACTGCAACCCCACCTCCTGCGTTCCAGTGATTCTCCTGCCTCAGCCTCCTGAGTAGCCACCACGCCCGGCTAATTTTTTTTTTTTTTTTTGTATTTTTAGTAGAGGTGGGGTTTCACCATGTTAGCCAGGATGGTCTCAATCTCCTGACCTCGTGATCCTCCTGCCTCGGCCTCCCAAAGTGCTGGGATTACAGGCATGAGCCACCGCGCCCCGCCTTAATTTTTAATTTTACTTGAAGACTTGGATGGCAAGGAAGTGCTTCTTCATACTGAGTTTTCTCTGAGGTTTTGGAGCCAACAGTAACTTTAAGATCCATATTCTCAGGCCTACGTAGGCCGAGAGACCCTACTCCTAGCACTCACAAACGGAAGAAGCTCTGAGAGATGAGGGGTGGGAGGACTCTTTCCTCTGCCTAGGAGGGTGGAAGCTATAGCATAGAAGCCCAGTAAGACCTTCTGACACCTCTCTCTCCCATAATTAATGGGGAATGTTCCTATTCCAACATGCCCTAGTTGGAGAGACTCCCATCCCTTGCAGTAGCGGCCTTCATATTGGAGGAATCATCTGATTATGGGGCTTGGTAAAGAGGAAAGAGGATTCTCATTGGCCAGTGAGTCCCAGCAAAATTATCACAGCTGAGGAAGTGAGCCAGTGCCATCACTGGGACTTTGAAACTGCTGTTCCCAGCCAGGATCTCCCTCCATACCCAGATGCTTCCTGCTTCAGACACATCAAATTCCAGACTTAGAATCTTAAAGTGTGACGACTCAGACACCTCTGGAGGAGATGGCATTTTCCCTGGGCCAGGAAAGATGGATAGGATGCAAATATAGAGGCTGGCAGAGGGGAGTAGGCAGCAGTGATGGGCAAGTGCCTGGCAAGCCCTCCAGGGTGACCGCCCGTATTTCAGCCCAGCCGCACAGCCTAGTAGCGACAGCCAGTCTGTCTCCCCCACTAATCATGTGTTCCCAGAGGGAAGACTGTGTAGGATTCACCTCACTGTCCCTTTCAGAGCCTGGCTTCAGGCCTGGCACACAGTAGGTGCCCCTCGAATTGAAAAAGTGAGGCCTGGCCATGCTCCCCAATGGCCCAGGCCCTGCTGGCCTGCTCCCTGGGAAGGAGATAATCCTGTGTTTGAAGCTCAGTGATGTGGAACTGTCCCAGTGACCACTTCCATCTGTCCCTGCCGAGGCTGCTGAGAATGTCTTCTCTGCCCTGTGACGTCTGTGCTTGAATCTGAGATTTCAGCAACAGTCGTCCTTGACACCTCAGGAATCCGTCCCCCTCCCCCCAGCATTGCTGGCGCCCTGGCTCAGACCACCGCCATTTCTCCACGCAGCACCCTCCCTGGTCCCCCTGCCCTTGCTCCAAGATTGGCAGACTTGTGGGATGGATGAGCAGATGTCAGACATGGTAACAAAAGCTCATGGGCTTTGCTGTCCAGTCCTGAATCTGAATCTTGGTTTCATCACTCAGCCTTGGGTACTTTTCCTCCCTTGTCTGAGCCTCAGTTTCCTCACCTATAAAATGGGGATGATAATGGCTGCTCATGAGGTGCTTGTGAAGATGAAAGAAGACCATGTCTCCATAGAATCTAGCCATTACTAGTGTCCTGATCGTTATCCTTTCCTCTCCACCACCAAGCCCCACGGGGAACTGGGCCCCCTCCCCAGAAGTGGCTGCCACTCCCTGAGGCTGCCTGACCATGCTTGGCAGACCCTGGAGATCTGACCCCAGACTCACAGGTAGCACAGCCGGCCTCATCCGCTCCACCCTCGCAGTCCTTCTCCCCGTCGCAGCGCCACGAGGCAGGTACACACTTGTGGCTGGTGGGTCCACAGCTCAGCTTCTCTGCAGGACACACCTGCTTGGCTGTGGAGACAGACGTCCATGCATAGCTTAGCCAAGGGGGACACAGGGCATGGTGCCAACCAGTCCTACCACCCTGTTCCAGCCATCTGGTCCAAGGCCCTAGGAGTCCATCAGGGCTCTTCTGGCCCATGTCTCAGTTTCATCAGCTGAGAAGAAGCCTCTGTCTGTGCCAGGAATTTTCAAATCCTAAATCTGACCCTTCTCTACATAACATCTTTCATGGCCCCCTGGTCCCTGGCCCTCAAGTCCCTTTGATCCATTGACTTCTGCCTGCCCCTCCTGGCCACACCTCCCATCCCTCCAAACCTCCACTTTAAGTTCTGGCAACATGGAGCCACCATGCCCTGCACTCTTCTCTGCCATTTCCCAGCTGTGTGCCCTTAGGTGAGATATGCCCCAGCTGGGCCTCAGTTTGCCTTCCAGATCAGTGACTCCATGATTGGAACCTGTAAATTTGGAGGGCTCACCAAGGCCCCAACGGCTCCAATCGGCCCGCCTCTAAGCCCCCTCCCCGAGTGATGGTGCTGATCCTGCTGCTGAGAGCAGCTGCTGCATGGCAGGGCCCAGCGGGACTGCATAGCTATAATTACTGCAGCCGCAATCAGAGGCTGACTCAATCAGGGGCCTGAAGCCCCAGGGTTGAATCTCAATTTGGAAGGAAGAATGAGAACCCTATTCAAGGCTGGGGACAGCTCTTATCATGAGTTTCTGCTGGACCCATGTGACAGGCTCAGCCAAGGCAGATGCATCTCAGACCTCCGTGGTTGGCTCCCTTCAGCCTTCCAGGGTGTGCAGGAGGCCCGACCTCCGTGGTCTCTAGGATGTGCCAGGCATGGTGCTAGACACTTCCATCTAATTTTCACAATAAGCCAGCAGGGTGAGAGGATTATGTGCTGGCCTCCAGCATAGAGGCGGAGAACATGGGCTCTGGAGCCTGGCTGCCTGGGTTCAAATCCTACTTCAATCACTCACTGACTATGTGACCTTGGCCAACAATCCTTATCTCTGTGCCAATAAAGTGGGGATAATACTATCTCTCATAGGATTGTTATGATGACTAAGTTAATGTCTGTAAAGCAAGCACCTAGAAGAACACCCAGCCCAGTGCTCACTAAATGTTACCTACTATGATTATCCACACATACCAGATGACTCTGAATTTTGCTTATTCACTGAGTATTTGAGCACTGCTGTGTGACAAACATGGTGGTAGGCACTAAGTTCTGGTCACAGAGCTGATAAAGAGCAGTGTTAGGATTGACTGAAAGTCAGCTGTGTCTGATGCCGGAGACTCAGCACAATCCATTTCTCCCCGGAGGCAGTGGGCTACTCATGCTTCGCCCTCCATTTTGCTCTCTGATCTCAGACCAGTTTCTCCTCTTCCCATTTCTATAGCTGGGATGAGAGACCACAAGGGATACAGAAAAGGGCACAGATGAGTTGGGGAGGGGAGCAGGTATCTGAGTCAAGGTCCCTGGACACCACTACTGCCATGGGAGAAGAGCATCTTAGGCCCCTGAAAGTGAGGTCCCCAACGTTATCCCTAGGAATGCATTTCATGAGTACAGGGCAATCCCTTGGGAATACAGGATTCCTGGTATTCATTTCACAGAAATTTCCCTTGCTCGAGGATTGGCAGACTTGTGGGATGGATGAGCAAATAACTGTCAGGTTGAGCTCTGGAAAGTACTAACCCTCAAAGGCCTTTTATATAAGGCCACCTTGGGGCTGCAGTGCAGGGTGGTGAAGGGAAACTGGGAGTTGGGAGATGGGGTCCTTCCAGGGTACCTCTATCACCAACACTGCAGGACCCCAGGTAAGCACCTCCCCTCTGGGCCCCACTGGAACACAGGAAGCTGAAGCTGACCAGTGCTTTGCTGGGGTCCTCTCATCAAAGGGTGGGGGGTGAGGGAGCTACTCAAAGTGCAGGTTCCTGAGCCTCAGCTCATACTGACTGAATCTAGACTTCTAGGGCAGAGCCTAGGGATCTGCATTTTAGTAACTCCCCACCAAAACCCAGGGGATTCCCATGCACCTCTATTTGGGAACCCCTGGGTTGGTTAACATTCTGCAAGCATAGAAGACAAGGGATGTTTCATCTCTTTTCAATTCACTACGATAAAAGTGATACAGATGTTCCATACACTTGCAAGCCCCTAAGAGAGCAATGGGATGGAAGGTCAAAGCAACTACTTATCCCTAAGCCAGGCCTCAGGAAACAGAACCTCTCAAGGGAGGGGGAGGGGAGTCCCAGTTTTTGAACACCTAAGTTGTGTCAGGCTGCTCTGTGCTGAAAATTTTATATTTTTTCATTTCATTCTGCCATGGTCTGAACGTTGGTATCCCCTGAAAATCCATGTTGGAACTTAATCCTCAATGTGATAGCATTAAGAGGTGAGGCCTTTAGGAGGTGATTAAGCCATAACAGTACAGCTCTCTTTAATGAGATCAGTACTCTTACAAAAGAGGTCAGGGGGAGCCTCCTTGCCCCTTCCACCACGTGAGGATGAAGCAAGGAGGTGCAGTCTATGAGGAACGGGCCCTCACCAGACACGGAAACTGCCGGTGCCTTGATCTTGGACTTCCTACCCTCCAGAACTGTGAGCAACAAATGTCTGTTGTAAGGTAAGCAGGCCTTGCGGGCTGCCAGTGCAAATTCCGGGGGTGCCATTCACAAAGGTCATCACATAAGTGGCATACCCGGGCCACTTACTTACTACATACCCGGGCCACTTACTTACTACATACCCGGGCCACTTACTTACTACATACCCGGGCCACTTACTTACTTACTACATACCCGGGCCACTTACTTACTACATACCCGGGCCACTTACTTACTTACTACATACCCGGGCCACTTACTTACTACATACCCGGGCCACTTACTTACTACATACCCGGGCCACTTACTTACTTACTACATACCCGGGCCACTTACTTACTACATACCCGGGCCACTTACTTACTACATACCCGGGCCACTTACTTACTTACTACATACCCGGGCCACTTACTTACTACATACCCGGGCCTTACCTACTACATACCCGGGCCGCTTACTTACCTACTACATACCCGGGCCGCTTACTTACCTACTACATACCCGGGCCGCTTACTTACCTACTACATACCCGGGCCGCTTACTTACCTACTACATACCCGGGCCGCTTACTTACCTACTACATACCCGGGCCGCTTACTTACCTACTACATACCCGGGCCGCTTACTTACCTACTACATACCCGGGCCGCTTACTTACCTACTACATACCCGGGCCGCTTACTTACCTACTACATACCCGGGCCGCTTACTTACCTACTACATACCCGGGCCGCTTACTTACCTACTACATACCCGGGCCGCTTACTTACCTACTACATACCCGGGCCGCTTACTTACCTACTACATACCCGGGCCGCTTACTTACCTACTACATACCCGGGCCGCTTACTTACCTACTACATACCCGGGCCGCTTACTTACCTACTACATACCCGGGCCACTTACCTACTACATACCCGGGCCACTTACTTACTACATACCCGGGCCACTTACTTACTACATACCTGGGCCACTTACTTACTACATACCTGGGCCACTTACTGCACTACAGCAGGGCAGCAGTCCTGCACGTAAGCACTCCATTTTATAGATGAGGAAACTGAGGCTCAGAGAGACCAAGTAACTAGCCCAAAGATGCACAGCAGGCGAGAGACCGAGCCTGGGTTCCTATGACTAGAGCCTTGCCCTTCCATCAAATCCTGCATGCTCCAGAACCATCCCCAAACTCTCCTCACAAAAGCCCAGGTGACAGAAAGGGCCCTTGGCTGTACGCTCCACCTCCAGGGTGGACCTCCAGGTTCTACAGACCCCAGTGCAGCAAGCGGCTGCTTGAACTTTTAATGAATATTTATATAGTTAATTGCATAACCTTTCAGCAAGGACAATGATTAAACAATCTGTCTGCTTCCTTTCTTTATAATTAATAAGACATTTGCTGTGTCCCTAAATAGACAGCTCTAATTATAGGTTCTCAAGGATTCAGCAGTGCCTGATAACAGCCCTCCACCCTCAAAGAGCCAAGGCTCTTGGAATGCCAGGACTTGAGAGATCTCAGAGGTCACACTGATGAACATCCCTTGGAGTGGCAGGAGACCAAGGCCCAGAGAGCAAAAGGGACCTGCCTAGGGTCACACAGCTACTGGCAGTTGGGTATTCCAATTCCTGTCTCTCCTGGAACCTCACTGTCTCTCCTGTGATGTAGCTTTCCCCCAAAGGTAGGACTTGAGCCTGGCTCGCAGGGTCCCAGGTCAGGCCTCTCTACTCCACAGTCCTGGGAAGTTGGTCTGGGTAATGACTGACACATGGTATCACCCTATGAAGTGGATATTCTTACCTCCATTTTATGAATGAAGAAAGTAAAGCCCAGAAAGAGTAAGTTGTTTGTTCAAAGGCTAGTGGTGAGAGGCAGATCTGGACTTCCATCCCAGGTCCAAACACAGTGCTTAACTTACTGCACCTAACCACTGCACAAGAGAATCAAGCAGACCCTGTTGGTCTCCCTGGCACCACTGGCCCAGAGAGAGGTCACTGGAGGAAGGGGACTCACTGAGCCTTTGGGCAGGTTCTGCACGATGGCCATCTGATGTCCACTCTCAGGATAACTGAAGCCCAAGGGCCCCCAGCAGCATGATGTAGGAGAAAGAGCCTGGGTTTTAGAGTCAGACAGACCTGGATCCAAGTTTCATTTACTAAAACTAAGGTCCTTAGGCAACTACTGAACCTCTCTGCACTCTGGCTCCCCTCATCTGAAAATGGGGTTGAATAATCTCCTAGGGTTGGTGGATGGCTTAAAAGGGGAACCATATGGAAATCCCTACACTCAGAGCCTGGAACAAACTAGGAGCTCAGAAAACACTTGCCCTTGTTTTATTTCATGAAGTGCAAATGCCAATGGCTGGGGACGTGCCTGTTGTCACCACTGGGGAATGCACATTATAAGTCCACATGGTCCACCGCGATGCAGACCCCATCCCAGGACAGCCACTCCCTCTGTGACAGATGCCCCCGGAGGGGACCATATGCCTTTGGCCTGCTCTCCAAGTACCCTAGGTTCTGAGAGGCAGGAGTGAAGAATCCCACTGTCTCTCAGACAACAGGAACCCTCCAAAGCTGGCAAGGGGGCTTTTCATGAAACTCTGTATCCTGGAGTGGCTCACGGCATTTAAAGGCATTTAAATTCCCAGAGAATCCTGCCCCAGAAATTCAAATCCATTGGTACTTTCTCCAATTCATAAATTCACAAATTAACGAAAAGGGCAATGTCTGTTAAAGAATGAAAGTACTTGGCGGCTGCCCATTGAGGGAACGCATCTACAGTGTCAACCCACGTGAGTTTCAGGGGCAGATAACCTCCAAATGGGGACTGCCAGCTCTAAGGGACCAGAGGCTCCGGTGGTGAGAACTGCCAGTGTCACTCAATCCACAGGAAGCACAGCATGGGGCCACCCAAGGTGCAGAAGGGGGAGTTACACCAAGTTCCTTCAGTCAAGGCCAGGCAAAATGCTGCTAGCTGGGTCAGTCCCTAACTTACTGAGTGAGCTCAGAAAATCTCTGGGCCTCCATTTTCTGATCTATAATAGCAAGATGAGCCTGGTTAATCAGAGAGGCCCCCCTCCCAGGTGGAAAGGTTCTAAGATGCATGAAAAAGCCTCCATATTCAAATAAATAGCATCCAGAACTATAACTCACCTTGAACCATCCTCCCCTCCCCCACCCTCACCCCTCCCAACAGAAGCCTGAAGGTGGGTCAGAAGCCGTCCCCAATCAAGTGAGCTATAATTAGAGCTGAAATGCTATTGCCATTAGGCAAATGTTCTGGGCTTTTCCATTGTGACTCCTGGCTACATTTGATAGGTACAGAACACAGAACCAGAGGGAAACAGAGCTGGGAGAAACCCCAGCCAGCTAGGGACAGACAACATAATCGGGGAAAACACAAGAATTGGGACCTTCTCTCAAATCCCTTTCCCGCTCAATGCAACTCCCTTCACTGACACTATTTTAACACTGTAAGAATCTAACATCTTAATATCTAACACACTGTTGTGTTGGGGAGAGGGGGCTTGCAGCCAAAATATAATAATACAAATAACACTGCCATTTACTCCAGCGATGATACTTGCATTCTTTCATTTGATTCTCACAATCCCTCTAAGGCAGGTACCATTACCACATTTTACAGATGAGTAAACTGAGGTTCAGGATGACTGGGCAGCTTGCCCGAGGTCTAACAGGTTAAAAGACCTGAACCCAACTATATCCAATCCCAAACTCACTACACTTTACTGCCTATAATCTTTCTTTTAGGGGTAGGGAATGGGGCTCCATCCTGGGAGCTGGCATAGCCCCAGGAACCTGGTGGGCCGTGGAGGTTGCTATGGCAACACCAATTAAATGGATAGCAGGTTGGCTGCTAGGTTCTCATTCAGTTGGGAAGCAGTGAGCAAGCCTGCTATCAGGTCCTGCTGCCCCAAATTCTGCCTGACCCTGACCAGAGCTCCCACTCTAGCCAACTTCCTCCAGGCAGTCTTCCGCCTTGCCTACACCGACCAATGTAACACAGGAAGTGGGTATCATGGCTCTTGCACCCCAGCTAGCACAAGCAAGGGGGAAAGGGGGTCTCAGAATACTAAGAGTTTAGGAATCTAGGAATGGAGAAGATTCTGGAATTCCGGAGTGTTACTGATCAGGGCCCAGAGGGAGGTGGGAAGATATGCAGGGCTTCACAGTGAGTAGCTGGAAGAGCCCACAGGAGAGCTGGGCTTCTGTCTCCTGGGGTGCTGCCTTGGCTACTGCTCCCATAGACGCCTTATGAAACCTCAGAGAGCTCGAAGAGCCTTTTTTCATAAAAGGGAGACCTGCCATGGATAAGCTGTGTGTTTTTGAAGGAAGTCTATCAACTTCTCTGGGCCTCCTGTTGTCCCTCAACTGTGAAAAGCGGGCCTGGGAGGCAGGAGGAATGAGGCAGGAGGGCCCCTGCCCAGCCCAGGGGATGGGAAGGCAGCAGGTGCTGGGATGGGCAAGAGGGAAAAAGACAGAGGGACACATGAGTAGGGCAGTGAGAAGAGATGGTGAGAGGGAGGGTGAGGATAGGAGATGAGCAGGGAAGGGAGGCAGCCCAAGAGGGCAGGGGTGGGCGGGACCCCGAAGGGGACAGAATGGAAGATGAAAAGGGACATCCACACAAAGAGATAGAGACGGGGGTGGGGGTGGGGCAGGGGGAGAAGGGGAGCCTAGCCCTCAGGTAGCAAGGCAGCCCCCTCTGATAACCACGATGAGGCTCCTCTCCCTTCCCTTTCTGCCCCCATTGTCGGAGTATCTGCTGGAGTGAGGTACGGATGGAGGAGCTGGCTGACTGCAGTGAGGGAAAAGCTCCCTGTGGCCACAAACCCTCCCCAAGCACACACTCCAGGCTGCACACGACTCTGCCTCTTGTTAGCTGGGCAGCCTTGGGCAAGGGGGAGAACTGACTCCAGCCTCAGTTTCTTTCTCTCTACATGGGGATCCTCCTCCTTCCTTAGGTTGCCAAGAGGATGAAAGTCACAAGTGGGCGTGGCAGGGCTTTGTTCCTTCTGAAGCTCAGGACAAAGCACTGGGCTTCCCTCCTGCCTGGGAGCCTTCAGGACGGCATGGAGTTTGGCCACGTGGTGGGTAAGGAAAGGATGGGGCCTGCGGCATGGCTGGGGAGGCCAGGAGCAGCTGTACGAGGAAATGAGGGCTCCTTGTCTCGGGTGGGGGCCGCTCTTGCTCTGTTCTCTCTCTCTCCCTTTCTCTTTCTCTTATGTGGAGACTGGTAGCTCTGTTGCTAGGAGACAAGGAAACCCAGTTATCACCAGCCACGGCGTTAGATGGGACTCCGGTCTCCATTGTCCCCACCTCTGCCTCTGGGACGACTGTTACCCCTAAACAGGGGCTCCTGGGTCCCCGCCAGCCCCACTATCCTCCACATGCTTTTGCCTGAGCCTTTTGTCTCGGGCTCACGCTGCTGAAGCTCTGCCTCTGGACTGCTGGGTCCTTCCCCGCCCCCTTCTCATCTCCTTTTTAATTTAACAAATGTCACAGAATGACCTGCCGGGTGTAAGTTTGCTTTGAGGATTAGGGCCTGGAAAATAAATCATGGAGAGACAAAGCCCTGAGTGTAGGGGGCAGGCCTGGGGCTCAGCTCTGGCCTCTACCTCCCCCTGCCTGCCTCTGCTACCACCCAGCTGGCCATGGAGGCAGGAGCTCCTAGGCTCAGCCCACCCAGGGTAGAGGAACGGGCCAGAGCCTCAAAGTCTTGGCTGGGTAGCCTTGGGCAAGTCACTCAACCTCTTTGAGCTTCAGTGTTCTCCGTTACAAAACTCAGAAAATGACAGTATCTGCTTCATGAGGCTGCTGTGGTTATCAAAGGCATTAATGCACACAGAGAGCTTAGCACACGATAAAGGCTTAAGAAGCACCAGCTGCCACTGGCACTCCTGGAATTATGGTCGGGGTCCTCAAGAACAGCAGCAGGGAGGCCTGGAGGACACGCTAGGGCTCCTTCTGGGCAGAAGGGCTTGACAGGGCTGTTTCTAGCTCCTGCTGCCACAGAAACAGGGTCCAACCTACAAGAGGGCTGTGAAGAAAGTCCAGAAACAGGTCAGTAGAAACCAGCAACTAAATATATCTGTTTACCAGGAGCGCCCTGAGTGCGTGGCACAGAATGTTCAACTGGTTACCTCTCCTGAGCCTCACAGCCTCTCAAGGAAGATCTGAGGAGGAAACTGAGGCCCACCCCCACCCAGACTGAGGGGCAGGACTCACTGCAAGTGGCCTCGGACTCATCGGAGCCATCAGGACACTCCTCCTCGCCGTCACACTTCCACCGTTCGTGGATGCAGTGGCCGTTGTCACAGGTGAAGTCACTGTCTGCACAGGTCTTCTTGGCTGCAGGGCAAGGAAGAGAGCGTGGTGAGCCTGGGAGCAGTCAGGAGGGTGGTGGGCCGACCAGGATGTGCTTGGTCTGCAAACCAGGCCATGGACTGCCTTGCTGACCAAGGGCAGAGGACAGGAGAGACAAGCTTCTTCATTCCTTAGGCATCTGAACACTGCGTGAAGACAGGTGACATTCTGCTCTGCCCTCCAAGTCCAAGAGCTCAAACCCAGCAAGCATGACAAGATTTATCATACCCCACCACACTCCTGCTTCCCCTCAATGTCTAGTTCCACTGCCACTGTCCCCAGGAAGCCTTCCCTGATACCCTACAGCAGCTGCCTTAGCTCCTTCAGCCAGTTCTCAGTCTCTTTACCTGCCTGTCCCACTTTCCCCAACTGGACTGGAAGTCAAAGTCCCTTCTGCAGGCGCCAGGGGAGTTTGTGATCATGAATCCTACACATAGATGATTCCTTTGTGGCAAGATGAATGACGTATTTTGTGTTCAGAGCAGTCGGAAGAGGATCTACTGGGCAAGACACCCAAATCAGTCCCTGCCCCCCGGTGCCTACAGCCTGCAGGGTGACCTCCACACTGCTCTGGGGATCTCAATCCCACTTCCTCCTCCTCCTCCTCCTCCTATCTGTGTGACCTTGAGGATGTTCCTTAATCTCTGAGCCTACATTTTCTTATCTATATAATAGGGAGAAGAAGACAAAAGGCGGTGAGGAGGAGCAACAAGAAGTCGTAATGTATGAAGAACCTGCAGCAGACTCAGGCACATGGCAGATGCTGGAGAAGTGGCAGCTACTGTTGTTTTCAGGGTTTGAGTCTTAATTAGAAGCTGAAGGAATGGGGTTCTGTGTCCACACAGGGGATGTAGCAGGCTGAGAGCTCACAGCTGGTTACGGAGCTGAGATAAGAATGCAGGTACCATCCCCAGCCCGGTTCTTTACTGCCTTCTGTGTCTTGTCCTACGAGGAACTAGAGTTTCCAGATCAATGAGAGGAAACAGAGATGGATGCCCATGTCATAAGGTGCCCCAGCTTCTTCCCAAGCAGCAGCACAGCACTGGGCGCACCTAGCAGGCCCGGGGGAGAGCAGTTGCCCTGTCAGGACTTCCATGGGGGAACTGAGGCTGCCTGGCTACCCCCAGTAGGTGGTGGGGGTGCGGGGGTGTTGGAGACCGGGAAGGGGCCTTGAGCGCTCCACCCCTGACATCCTGCACCCTCTGTAGCAGCCCTAGGCCTCTGAATTATTGGGGGCTCATCTGCATCAAATCTGCATTGAACTCACACATGCCCTGTTCCTGCTGGACCAAGCATCCAGGACCCGCTACAGAACAAGGTGAGGAAGAGAGCACTGGGCAGGGAGTCCGGAGGTCTGGATTTGAGACACTGCTGTGCTATTTTGCTCTGTATCCTCAAGCACATCATGGCCCTTTTCTGGCCTACAGCTTCTTCATCAGGAAAAGAGAGGGTGATCTGGTGAGAGATAAGCTTTCAGGTGTGGTAGTTCGAGACCAGGAGGCCCAGAAATGAAGACGGCAGGGGGGTCTCTTTTCAGCCTAAAAGAGGATACCTCAGCACAGCAGTGACTTACCCCAGGCCTTGGGGCGCTCAGACCACCAAAGTCCTCCCCTGGAATGAGCTTGGGATGGATTTAACATCAGGGGCCACTAGGATGTGGCCTCTCCCCAGGGGCTTAGAAGTCCCGTGGCCCCAGCCTGCCCCGCTCCCTCATCTTCCCCTCCTCATACTTCCCAATCTAGCCCCACCTCAACTGCCGGTGGGTCCTCATATACTCCATGCTTTTTATACCATCATACCTTGCCCAAGCTGTCTTTAGTCTGAAAGCCCCTTCCCCCACCTCTCACCTTCTTTCCATTACACACTGGGCTTAAGTATCACCTCCAGTCTTGATCAGTAGCCTCTCCTGAGCTCCTACAATCCCCTGAATGTCCTTCTAGGGCAGAGGTTGGCAAACTTTTTCTGTGAAGGGCCAGATAGTAGCTATTTAGGCTTTGAGGGCCAAATGGTCTCGGTCACACCACTCAATCCTGCCACTATGGGGCAGAAGCAGTCAGAGACATTAGATAAATGAGTGAGCATGGTTATGTTTCAATAAAACTTTATTTACAAAAAACTGGTGACAGGCCAGGCCTGTGGCCTGTATTTTGATGACCTCTGCTCTAGATCATCACTGATTGCGAGTCCAACATGGTTTGCTTTCTTCCCTGTCCCTGCAGCACAGAGACTGTCAAATTCAGCAAGAATCCAGCTTGGGGTAGGTCTCAGTGCGGGACACTGAGCTAAATGCGAGCACAGCCCCCCAGCCTCTGCTCCATACTTACAGTTCTGGGGCTTGCCTTCTCCCTGGGAAGCCACTCCCATGGACCACCTTTATTCAAATCTACCCACAGGCCCTCTGGGTGCTTCTGGGGCTGCAGGCCTGCTCCCCCTCCTCTGGGGAGCCTGGCAAGGATTTGGTGAGAGAGACTGTGTCTCTGAATCTGTTCCATGTCTGTCCTTCTCAGTGGAATCTTTGCAGTACATCTGCATTCTAAGATGAGTTTTCTTCACACTTTGCTTAGAAGAATGCCTCTGTACGTGCAGAACTAGAAGAAACCTGAGGAATCAGAGTCCACCTTCAGATGGGTAGATTGAGGCCCAGAAAGGGAAAGGGGCTGGCTGAGGGAAATACAGCATGGCAGGGATAAGAACAGCTCTCCTGCCTCTCAGCCCAGGGCTCTGGAGAGGCCCTCCCTGTTTCCTGCACTGAGAGGTCATCGTCAATGATAGATGCGAATACCACCTATTGGTAAATCATAGTCCATAATCATCTTAAAGTAAGTACCAATATGAACCACAGCACCTGGGGAATTTCCTAATGTGAACACCAGTGGTTTTCCCCCCACAAGAAGCTCAGCATCCAAAAAAAGAAACGTATATCCTAGTTTTCTCTTTTTCTCGTTCTAACACTCACTAGGTGCTTCCTCTGTGCCAGTCTCTGCCAGGTGTTTTTACCCAAGAAACCTCATGGCAGGGGGCCTGCTATGTACTCATTTGACATATGAGGAAATCCAGACCCAGAGATGTTAAGTTACATGTCCAAGGTCACAGCTGGGGGGAGCAGGGTCACAGTCTGAACCCACAGTCAGATGCCTGCTCATCTCCACCACGGCTCCCCAGTCAAACATTCAGCAGTACCAAATGTGGAAGAAAAACCTTACAGCAGGTGGGAAAGCCCTGTGCAAGCTTCAGTTCCACATTCAATGAACCTTGCTTCTGTTCTACGTTCTGCACTGAGAACACAGAATCAGCCCAGCCCAGTCTCTGGGAATTAAGAGCAAGTAGGCAAGTCTGGCAAGGATGTGTGGTCAGACAGTGCCCAAAACAGCAGGGCAGGCTTGAAGAAGGTGATGATGGGGCTCTGTTGCTGGGCACAGGACAACCAGATACCCCCCAAAAACCCTGCCCTCCCTGGGATTCTGAAAGCCTGGGGGTGATCTTGTCCTCCTCCATGTGCCAAGCCCTGGCAGGCACTGGGCAAGGAGGCCAGAGCAGCCAAAAACACCACTGCTGTCCCAAAGGGCAGCTTTGAGGTCAGCCCCGCCCAGGAAATGGCAGCTGCAGGGAGAGTGGTGTTTTTGGCAACAGATTCGGTGGTGTTTTTGGGAACAGATTTGTTCACTGGCTGGACCAGCTTGGAGATTTTCCACTCTGGCTCTGGCCTGGCACCTTTCACCCAATATCCCAGTGACTCCTCACAGCTATCTTGGTAGCTGTTGTTATTAATCCCATTGTACAGAAGAGGAAATTAAGGCTTAGAGGTAAGGGTGTTAGGTGGCAGAAGTGTGATTTCAACTGTGTGTGGCAGCTGCCAAAGCTTGATCTCTTTCCACTCAGACCCTCAGCCACCTCAGTGTTACCAGGCTAAGAATGAGGACCCCAGAGAGTCCTCAAATGTACTGAAACATCTCTCAGGTCTCCTGGAATGTGCCCAGAAGTGTGCAGCAGAATAAACCCAGGCCTGGGACGGCTTTTGCTCTGCTAATGGACAGCACTTTCAGGGTGGGGACTAGACTAAAGCACGCTGGAGGGCCCCATTGGAAGTGTGACCATATGGAAGGATCTGGAGTCAGAGTGGAGACTGACTCCTGGCATAGCCACCTCGGGGTGAACCTGGGCAAGTGGGGATGTGGCTTTCCCATGCAGCTTTGTCACAAGGACAAAAGGCAAAAAGACTCTTCTGGGGGATCCTGGTGAACACCCAGTGTCAGGCCGTTCAGTGCAATGAGCCCAATAGTCCCTCGTGAAGAGACCATATCAGCCCTGCCATGAGATGAGGGCTGTGCCGCCATTCTAAGGCTGTCAGAGAAAGCCATGCCAGACCCCTACTCTGCTGGCCTTGGCTCTGGTTCCCAGGGTGATTCCCCAGCTGGGCTCAAGGCCATGGCTCCCTGTTTCCAGGGATTTATGTCCCCCCATGCCAGTCTGCCCCTTGGACAATGCCCACCTCTGTGAGTCCCTCAGCCCAGGAGTGATACATAGTCAACCAGGGTCTGCGACATCATAATCTGGTGCCATGGCAACAGATGGGCTGCCACAAAGGACTAGGGGATTCTAGGGGCAGTGAGGAGGGGCTGACCCCAGGGTAGAGTAGGGGAGAGTGGGAAATCCAGGACAAAGGAAGTGGGAAATGCTATTTATAACAAGAACACGGGCCAAGGAAAGTGCCAGACAGTCCATGGTCTATCAAACTGCGCCCTGCCACTTGTAGGCTATGTGACCTTACACAAGTTACAGGACTCCTGTGAGCCGCACTTTCTTCGTCTGCTTCACGGGACACACAGGGTCATTGTGAGAAGCAAATAAGCTAAGGATGGCCCCAGGGCTTTATGAACTGAGAAGCAAAAAGGTGCAAGTTAGAGGTGTGTGAAGTCACAGCCCTGGCCCCAGCTGCCGTGTGTGTAACACTGGGCCCATCCGTCAAACCTTCTGAGCTTGCCTCCTCCTCATCAGGAAATGGAGGTGTGGCGCTGACTAAGTCTTAAGGCCCTCTCCACACTCAGTGTCTGTGATCCTGTGAAACTGTTAGAATCACTCAGCACTTCTTGGCTTCCCCCGCCTCCAGAGACATCCTTCCCTGAGACAGTATACATCCTTCCCATGCTGCTCCCCACCCACACGCATCGTGGAGCCCCGGTGCAGAGAGAAGGCTCCAAAATAAAGATTAGTCCGGGCTGCCCAGGGGCACTGCTCTGTGCAGCTTCCTCTTGGCAATCCGAATGTCCTGCCGTGTTGGACTCCAGGGTCTTGAGGCCCCCTACGTGGGTCTCCCATGTTACATGCCTGGAAGCCAAGGCCTAGTGAGAAGTGACTGCTCAAAGCCACAGCACATGTCTGTGGGAGGGCTGCACTTGAACCCAGGTAATGACTCCCAATCCCACTTTGTAGCCAGCAAGCCAGGCGAGGGCCACCTGACCTGGCCCAGGGGTCAGGGAAGGCTTCCCAGAGGAGGGGCACTGTGTTCAAGGAAGAGGAGTCAGCCAAGCTGTGGGAGTGAAGAGAGCAGGGAAGAGCATTCCAGGAGGAAGGATAATGGGGCTTAGGGGCATGGAGGAGCGAGCAGAGTGACCATTAGGGGCTGGGGACAAGGCAAGTGGCAAGGGACCTGGAGCTCCACCAGGCCAGGGAACAATTGACCCTGGTGGAGTTGTTCACCAAGTTGTGCACAAAGCTGCCCTGCAGAGGCCCAGCACAGGGGCCTGGCTTTCCTTGAGCTTGCCCAGGGACCCATCCAGCCTCTTGCTAAACACAGGGCTGCTCTCCAGCAGCCAAAAAAACCCAGGGCTCCAGGCTGCCAGAGCTTCCTTTGGGATTTCGTGAGGCCATGCAAGACAGAAAATCGGCCCTTAGCAGAGGAGGGGAGGGGTAGGGGGCAGGACAGAGCCCAGGGGTGGCCATGCACCAGGATATTTGGGATAGACACTTATTATTTTCCCCCTTGGAGATGCATGATGCCCACGGTTTATAAAGGCCCTGGGAAGGACTGCAGTAAAGATATCTGATTGACGGTTTCCTCCAGCCTTCCAAGCTTGTTTAACCAAGGAACTCCTTTTTCAGATGCCACATCTGTTTATTTCCCAAGAAACAAGTGGTCCAATGAACCACACCTAGGAAAACACTGCTGGGGCACAAGCCTCTCATCCTACAGATGATTAGATGAGGTGCAGAGAAGGGAGGGACTAGCCCGTGTTGACACAGCAGCCTGGTAGTTGTACTTAGCCGTCTGTCTCTGGGCCAGCCCCACTAGGCCATAAAAAATAGAACAAAGTGTTCACAGAGCATGGAGCCCAGAGTGAAGCTGCAGGGACCCCACTGGAGACCCCAATCCTCAGAGCAGGGACACGTCTAGAGAAAGGCCCTGGAAAGAACAGAGAGAATTGATACCCAGCCACCTAGGACAGGGAGATGAGGGAGCTGTCAGCCTTACAGGCTCTGACTGATCTCTGGTTTCTGTGGACAGGTCTTGGGCTCTAGAGAATGTTCTCTGAAGGCAGAGCAGCGACCCCTAAGAAAGGTGGATTCCAGCTCAACATTGTTGTTCAGCAAGCTGGGGCAGGTTCTTTCCCCTCCTAGGGCAGTTGAGAGGCTGAGAGCAAAGGTAAAGCCCCTAACTTGGAGAGCTGGGTGCACAGAAGGGACTTGGATGTTCCCACTTCCTCTCCCAGGCCTGGGCCAGCACAGGGTGGCCTGGCTCTGGCCCTAAGGCAGTTGGGCCACTTGTACCCGGGTCGGGGAGATGAAAGGGCTGCTCCCACCAACAGTTACCCTTCGACAGAGCTCGCCATGCCCCAGCGTTGCCAAGACGACCGCTTCCAGCAGAATGCAGATCCGGGGTGGGGGCAGGGGGCGTGCCAGCCCGCCCCTGGCCTACTAACCTGGCAGGCAGATTTAAATGACAGTCCAGGAAGCTACTATTAAACTGTCACCCCAGTCAACAGGATGACAGACCCAGAGTGTTCTCTGGCTGCAGCAACGACAGAGCAGTAATGAGAGGGGGAGGAGACCGTGGCCCAGAGCAACCTGCACCCCACCCGGGGGCCCTGGCCTGACGGCCGTCCCACTACCAGAGCCACCCTCTCAGGCTGTGGCGGGTCCTGGCATGGAGCTGGGGCTCAGCACAGGGCCTGGAAAACTATTTTTAAGCAGAGGAACCCTTTTCCCAAGTGAACCCCCAACATATAAGACAGATTAAAATGGAGCTGCACGGTTGGAAGTGGTGGTGGGGGTGATGCCCAGAGCCCATCGCCAGCAGATCTGGGGTCCAGCAGCACTGGATTCAAATCCTCCATCGCCAGCAGATCTGGGGTCCAGCAGCAATGGATTCAAATCCTAACCCCTCCCTGGACATGTGATGTTCCTAAAGCCCTCAGTTTAAAGATCCCGTGGGTCCATTATAACATTGCAAACAGCTTCCACATGGCTCTGCTTCTGACACTCTAGGGACCTACGGTTCTAAGGCTGTAACACTCTGATTTGCACCCTAAGCCCCTGTGACAAGACTCCATGACAGCTACCGCCAGAGTCGGAGATGTCGATAAGCTGCGGATGGCAGCCTCTGATGCCTTCCCTGAAAGGAACTGTTTATCTGAGTCCAGAAGTCCACATGCGGACAGTCTCTGACTACTCAAGGCTCGGCGGTTCCCAGAAGGCGAACGGTTCCCACAGTGTCCTGACAGTAGGGTGCAGGAGCCAGCACCCGCGTGTGGTGGGCGGGACTCGGTGCGTGGCTTTGTACTGCCCAGCGGGCTCTGGGGCTCAAGCCACCATCATCCATCAGCAGGCGACATCTAAATTCGCCCTCTCCCCCACCTTCCCATCCCACCTGGGGAGACTGAGAAGCTGCAGGTGCTGAGGAGGAGGGAGACACACGAAGGGCTCCAGCCAAAGGATTCACCCCATTCGGAATGAAGAGGCTGCAGCGGAAGGAGCACTTTTTGGTGAGGGCGGCTTTGCTTTCAAATCGGGAAGAGTTTCCCTCAAAATTTTCTGGGTTCTCTCCTCCAACCCATTCCACTAAGGAGTTACACAATTCTAACCAAGCCAGATCCTAAGACCATAAATCTATTTATTTCCCAAGAAACAAGTGGTCCAAACATGAAACAAGTGGTCCACCTTTGCCCCAAAACACCAAGGCATGAAAATGAGGTTGCAAAGATCAGGAGGCCCGAGGAAAGACAAAATGGGAGGCAGCAGCAGGGCCCCCAGCGGTGGAAGGAGTGTCACCCCTTCCCATTCTGGGCCTCAGTTTCCTCAGGTGAACACATCTCTAAGGGCCCCCTCCAGCTGACCTTCTGGATTAGTGACCCCGTCACACGGAGGGGTTGTGGATCTTGGTGCTGTTCCAAGTCCTTCCAAAGAGGTCATCTGGGGCTTCCCACAACCAAGCACCTCCTCCAGGCCCCAGTACATCCCAGCTGCTCTCAGATACTGCCGGACCCTGGCCCCACTGTCACCAAGGGAGGCCCAAGCCCTTGCTGGGGTATGTAGGCCTCCCTGTCACCACAGGGAAGAAGAGCGTCTCCGAGGGACAGACCGACAAAGGCGTCTTCCTGTCCCAGTGATTTGTGGTTGCAGGAGGTATTGAACGAGTGACAGCTGAGGGGCTGGGAGGAGGTGGGTATGGGGGAGAGGTGGGCAGGATGGGATCAGCAGGAGTCCCTGGCTGGCGCCTGCAAAGGGACCAAGCATTACGCAAGGGGTGCTGCTGAGAGCAGGCAGCACGCTGAGAAGATGACCACGTTCCTGCCCTCTCCCAGGCTCCAGCCAGCCCCACCCTGGGTTTTGGCACTGGGATTGTGGGTTCCAGAGAAACAGCTAGAAGAAAACTCATGACATTCTTAAAGTAGAAGCTTCCAGAGGCCAGAAGGCAAGGCCAGGAGACCCTTTAGGCCCTCCAGCCAGAGTCATTGCCAGGCTCCCAGCCTCACATTCCCCTTCCACTCCTACCCCAGTGGAAACGTGGCCTCCTCTGACCAGGGCACCTTCCTGGCTAACCCCAGCCAGGCCCCCTGGGGCTGATGGGTCCACAGCTCCGCCTCCCTTGGGCAGGCTGACCTTGGAGCTTGCCAAGGACCCCTGCATTCCAGGCCCTGTTCTTGCCACCAGCCCTCTGAGGGAAGGAGGGGCAGCTCTTCCGCTTCTTCTTTTGCAGTTGAGGAGAAGGTTCTAGATCTCATTCCAGCCCTGCTCTGCCACCAACACGCTGTGTGACAAGGGGCAGGCCTCTCTGGGCTCTCGGCCCCCACTAACTGTAAGTGGGAAGCTCAGGGCTCCCAGAGCAGAACTCTGCAGCCAGGGCCAAGGAGGCCAGGCCCGAGGGATTCAAGAACCCACGAGGCGCAGACACTCCTCTGGTGGAGCGAATGATTGAGTGATGACCCCTGCCTGTGTGGAGCGAATGATTGAGTGATGACCTCTGCCTGTGTGGAGCAAATGATTCAGTGATGACCCCTGCCTGTGTGGGGAGGGGTGGCGGGTCCCTGGCTGCTACCCACAGGCAGGCAGGGCACTCAGGCCTCTGATGTCAGCAGTGGGTCGCTGCAGCACCCTCTCCTCTGCCCACCAGGTAGAGACTGCACACACTAGGAAGCAGCCCTGGCTAGTGAAAAACGCAAATGCTTTCACCAATTAGGCTGGTAGGAGAAGCATTTCCTAGCAGGAGCCTCACTGGCCCATCCCGGTGATAAATGGGCAGCACCTGTTATTGGGAAATCCATCTCCTGGTGTGGGACTGCTGCCTCTCTGGAGTGCTCCTCTGTGCTGGGCTCTGGGCTCCTCACCAGGGAGTGTGTGGCAGGCTGTGCCCAGGAGGCTGGTGTGAGCTCTCTGCCACCCCCAGCCTCACATTGGTCATCCAGGGAGCCTCTGCCCACCTGTGCCCACCTGTGTGCCCAGCAGAAGGTCTGCAGGTTAAAGTATCACTCTGTGATATCGCTGAGGCCTGTGCAGGGAGTCTGCTGGCTTTTCTGGAGAGAGGTTAAGAATATCTCACTGAGAATGGAGTTAGCAATGGGCCGTCTGCCACTCCTGGCCTGGAGGGCCTGGCTCTGCTCTGTGGCCTTGATGTAAGTCTCTGGCCTTCTCTGTGCCTTGCTCTCTTCTTTCATGGCATGGTGAGTTGGATGAGATAAGCTCTAAGTTCCTCTCCTTTTTAGGTATGGTTTTACCCACCACCAGGCCCAGAGTGGGCTGACAGAGGGAGGGAACTGTGGCTTGGTCCCCAGTCCCTTACAGTCCACTCCTGTGGCTCCAGGGGCTACAAATCCAGAGCCAGTAGTCACTGTCCTACCAAAGTCCTCTCCGTAATCAAAGAGCCATCTTTCCTTGCCTGCTGGCTTCCCATCTCCCCTTGAATATGACCAACTGCCTTAGCAGGGCACTCAGGAACAGTTCAACCTGCCCTGCTACTGCTCTGGCCCATCCCTGGCCATCACCTGCCTCCAGTAACCACTCAATGGTTATGGACAAGCCATTGGCCTTCATACCAGGTGCTTTTGCTCACGCAGCTCCCCCAGGCCAGAAGCCCTTCTTCCACCTCCATGGGCAAAACTCTCCCACCCCTGATGGCCAGCTCAAGCATCAGCTGTTCATGGTGTCTGACAATGCCCCCATCCAAATGCCCCCACCTCTGACAGAGCAGAAATGAGTGGATCCCAGCCCAGGGCCAGCCAGGGCCCACAACACCAAAGGTAGGACGTTAGCAAGCTCGAGTCTCCATGGGGTGCTTATTTTGCTGCTGTATTTTGGCAGACCGACCCAGGCAGTGCCTACGGGAAGCCCCTTCCAGGCTGTGCCCACCCTGGCCGTCAGTGCTGAGATGAAGATCTGCGGCCCCACTGGCCAGGGGAGACCTCAGGAGCCATCCACCAGACCGGACTAGGCTCAGAAGTCATCCCAGCAGCTCAGTAAGCCAGTGACACGTGGCTCGGCCACTGTCATAAAGCAGGGCTCAGGGAGATGCAAACCCTTCCCAGTCTCCTAGTGAAAGCTGGGCCCTCGGTGTGAGAAAGCCCTTCACAGGGCTTCTCTGGGGAGTTCCACAAAGCCCTGCCTGGGTTCCAGACCGTCTCAGTAGTTTGGGCCTCGGGAGCCCTGGCTACCCCTCCAGGCTGCCCTTGACCTCTGGGGTGACATTGGACATGCCCCTTACCCTCTGGTGCCTCAGCCTCCTCACCTAGACATTGGAGGAGTCAGGTTTTCATGTGTACCATTCAAAGGCCTGCCTGGGTTACCTCACAAGGTGAGAGTGAAAGGGACAGAAGGAGGGTGCTCGAGGTGTGGGGGGTGGGGTGGAGTGGTGTGGGCCAGTGTAGTCAGCACCCGCTCCGGGAGGGGAGACAGGTGTGCTGCTGGGTGATGCGGACAGCAGAGCACGTGGCTCAGGGCAGGTGCTCAATGGAGAGAGTGGAAGGGCCCTGAAGCCAGGGGCTCCTGAGAACCTTCGGCTCAGAGGTGGGGATCATGGGGGCATTGGGGAACAAGGGAATTGTCTGATTGGGATACTCCCTGAGCCCAAGAGAAATCTAGCAGACTGGCCCTGGGTCCTTAGCGGGTATGGAGTTGAGTGACAGGTTTGAGACTCCATCCCCAGTCCCTCGGCCTGGCTCCTCAGGGCAGCTGTGAGGTGGGTGTGAGGCAGAAGCCACCACCCACTTTAAGAGATTAGGAAGCAAAGACCTTAAAAGGCATGAACTGGCCAGGCATGGTGGCGCACGCCTGTAATGCCAGAAATTTGGGAGGCCAAGGCAGGCAGATTACTTGAGCCCAGGAGTTCAATACCAGCCTGGACAACATGGTGAAACCCCATCTCTACAACAACAAAAATACCAAAAAAAATTAGCTGGGCATGGTGGTACACATCTGCAGTCCCAGCTACTTGGGAGGCTGGGGTGGTCGGCTGGCTTGAGCCCGGGAGGTTGAGGCTGCAGTGAGCCATGATCATGCTACTGCACTCCAGCCTGGGCAACAGAGGGAAACCCTGTCTTAAAAAAAAAAAAAGGCATTGATTGTCCCAAGGTCATGTAGCTTGAGGCAGGACCAGAACGCAGGTTGTTTCATCCCGAATGCTGTGCAAGCAAAGGAAAAAGTGAGAGGTGGACCTTCCTTCAGAGAGTCTATAGCCAAACTGAGGAAAGGAGAACCCCAGGTGTAACAGCCACAACCCAGAACAAAAGGAGATGCGTCTTGGTTAGACTCTGGGGTGGTGACGTCACTCATCTCCCCTCTCTGGACCCCAGTGCCTCAGCTGTAAAACAAGGACACTGACCTTGGTGGTCTCCAAGCCTGCATCTCCCTTGCCTGTGAGTAAGGTCTGCTGGAGGGAGAGGAGGCAGGCCTGGGGAGGGCTCACTGCCTGGAAGAGAGACATTTTAAGCTGGTCCTCAAAGAAAGGGGGTGATTTTGGCTGGCAGTAGTAGGGGCTGAGGAAGCCTGCCCCGAGGAACTATGTTTGATCCAGAAGGAAAAGGTGGATTCTGAAAGCAGATGGAGAAGGCTGCTTCTGGCTTCTCAGTGCGTTTGGAAGGAAATGGGGTCCATTCTCTGAAGCTCTTTAACCGCCCCAGGATTGGTTCCAACAGGGAGGTGTAAGCGTGTGGTCCACAACCCCCACCCAACAAGCAGATTCCCAGCCTCGGGCTCACGTTAGACCGGAACCTAACATGATGTGGGCTTGGAGACCACCAAGGTCGGTGTCCTTGTTTTACAGCCGGGGCACTGAGGCCCAGAGAGGGGAGATGAGTGACGTCACCACCCCGGAGTCTAACCAAGACCCATCTCCTTTTGTTCTGGGTTGTGGCTGTTACACCCAGGGTTTTTGTTCCTCAGTTTGGCTATAGACTCTATGATGAATGTCCACCTCTCGCTTTTTCCTTTGCTTGCACTGCATTAGGAATGAGATGACCTGGGTTCTGGTCCTGCCTCAAGCCATATGACCTTGGGCCAATCAATGCCTTTTTTTTTTTTTTGGAGACAGGGTTTCCCTGTTGGCCAGGCTGGAGTGCAGTAGTATTTCAGCTCACTGCAGCCTCAACCTTGCAGGCTCAAGCCATCCTCACACCCCAGCTTCCCAAGTAGCTGGGACTGCAGGCGTGCACCACCACACCCAGCTAATTTTTTTTTTTTTTTGGATTTTTGTTGTAGAGACAGTTTCATCATGCTGCCCAGGCGGCCTAGAGCCGTACTACAGCAGGTGATCCAGAGTCAGGGCCTGGGAACAACCTGTATGATTATAGGTGAGTGACTTAACCTCTCAGAGCCTCAGCTTCCTCAACAATAAAATGGGGCTAACCACCTCAGAGGGTGGGAATTAAGAGAGGTTGTAATGTTGAAATTCATGGTGAAATTGCACATCACCACAAAAGCAGGTAGAGCTCTTGTCAATCATGCGGCTTATTTCTTACCACCACCACTCCCCCACTGCTCCAGCTTTCCTACAGGGACTTTGGGGAGAGCTGGGTTGCCTCCCCGTTCGAATGGGAGAGGGCCGGGGGCAGACAGGCAAGGGGCATGGCTTAGCTGGAAAAGCATCTGGGTCCAGTGAGGTGGTGGGGAGCAGCCAGTCCTCACAGGGCCTGTGGGAGGCTCTGGTGGAGCCAAGGGGGCTGCAGGCTGAACACACCTGGGCCCCAGGGCCATGTGGCCCAGCCCTTGGATTTCATACATGAGAAAAGGGGCCACAGCAGCCTCGCGCTCCCATGGCAACCTCAGCAAAGCAATTGCACTCCTCCCAAGACCCAGTCAGGAACAAAACTGCCGCTGAAGAGACTGGAGGAATCATAAGATAGTCTTCGAATCACAGAACAGAATCTCCCTGTCTCAGGATCTGAGAATCGTAAAACACACAATTTACAAGTACTTAGGCTCATTCCGTTGAACGTTAGGACCAAGGAGCCACAGAATCTTTCCAGTTTTAAATCACAAATCTTAGACTCACAAACAGAACAAAACCCTAGAAGCTTCTAATCTAATCCAGGCACCAGGAGTGGCAAAGGCCTGCCCCTTTCCCCCAACCCCCACCAGTGCTGGAATCCTCTGTTCCCACCGCTGACATATGGCCATTCGCCCTCTTGAATGCTCTCAGCGACAGGGGACTCAGTCAGCCGTGCTGGCTGGAGGCTGAACACGTTCCTTCCTCTTGAACGGGGAGGGAAATAAGCTCTCAACAGGAGATCCCCACTTTGTACAAATGGATTTTTCACCCCTCCTTGTTCTTTGGCTCGGTCAGAAAGACTCCCAGGGAAGTGGAAAGGAGCCAAGAGCTGCCATGAAATGACTTTACCCAGCAGACAGGCTGGTGATAGGTTTCGGTGGGAAAAAGAAAGGAAAGGGGCGATGAATTCCAACTTGCTGAGCGATAAAGGAAATTAAGGCATAATACCGAGGAGGCAGCAGTTCTATTAACCTGGGTGGAATACCAATTACTCCAGCCTTCTCAACATTGCTCCAAGTGAAGAGAAAACCCCCAAAGAGAGTGTGATTGTGGCCCAGGGCTCATCTGGATTAGACTGTTTGTTTGCCCTGGCACCCTAATGATGGGAATGAGGGAAAATTCCCCGTTTCCTGGGAGACAGCCATGCCAAAGTGGGGGAGGAAAGGCAGGCCCACGCGCAGCCACTGGACTGCTTGGCAAATGCTCAGGGCAGAGGGGGTCCCCAGGCCCACTGCAGAAAGGCTCAGTGAGGGGCCACCAGCAGCCTCCCCTCACCTGGCCCTGTCCAGGACACCTCCTCTGGTCCCATGTTCTGGGAAGGCCAAGCTTCTGCTGACTCCTATGCTACCGGGAAAGTCTCAGGTCTCTGCTGCTGGAAGCCAAAATAATCAAGCAGCAGGCCAACTGTGCGTGAGGGACCCTGCTAGATGCTGGCACGCCCTGCAGTTAGGTAAGACCTTCGGAGGTGGCCATGTCTCCAGGTGTTGGTTCTGGCAGGGCCGGGGTTCAGGGCTCTGGCCGGGACCACCCACCCATCTGAGGCCAGCCCCAGGGCCAGCAGTATGGGGATGGTTCATGGCCACAAGCCCCAGCTCAGCACCTCCAACCAGAGCTGGGCAGAAGGGGACAGACATGGCTGTGGGAGGCAAGAAGAGGAAAGGTGTGGGGTCATGTGCCCAGCAAACCCTCACCGCCCACTGGCATCCTGGCCCAGACCTCAGCCACACCGGCCACTTCTCAGAGCCCCTTACAGAGGGGTGCCCATCAGCCTAGGGGTTCTGAGCCAGCATGGCTCCCCCAGTAAGACAGGTCCCACTACAGCTTGAAGAGGAAGCCACTTTTAAACAGCCTGCCCAGTGAGCACTGCTGGCTGCCTGAAGATGATTCCACTCACCTTGGTTTTTCCTGCAAGTGAACCTTCCTCCCAGAACTAAGGTTTGGAAGATCCCAGTCTGCTGCCTGACATGGCCATTCTCCCACAAAAACAGGTGAAGGAACGCAGGACTCAAATCACGCCTTTGTCCCTTACTAGCTAAGCGACCTCAGGCAGGCTACCTGACCGCTCTGAGCCCATGTTTCCTCATTTAAAAATGTGGTGGTAGATCCTGACTCGGAGGGCAGTTGGTTGCTAGATCACGTCTATCAGTGCCCGACATAAGGGATGGCACACAGAAAATATTCAGTGACCGAAGTTCCTCCTCCCTTTATCCCAGCCGCTGTGGCAGCCCCACCACCAGGCTTTGTACACAGTGAGTCCTTAAGAGGTTTTTGTTGCAATTTTTAAAGGGCATCTGGAGGCCTAGCCTCTGTCATCCTGGGCCACCTGGTTCTTCTGTGACTTGTTTTCTCCATGTATAAAGTAGAAGGCCTGTTCCTTGGAGAAAAAGGTCAAGGCGGGTGGAATTATTACCTGGCAGCCAGCGGGGCTCACAGTGCAGGCTACTTCAGAAGCCTCGTCCCTGGCTAACACCACAATGGTTATAACGCCAAGCGGGGCAGCTGAGACTGGCCCACCTGGACACACAGGCAATGAGTGGAGGTCACAGGAGGTCTGGCCACCAGCTTCCCTGCACCTCCACCCCTGCCCCCACACTAGTCTCTCCTCAGCCCCACAGGGAGCCAGGGGCCTCTAGAATGGCCTCTCCTCCACCCACGTGCATGGGCCCTGGCACAGGAGAGGCGCTGAGGAGGAAGCTGGAAGGCACCCAGCCACCCACTCCAGGGTGAACGGTGAGCCTGCCCAAGCATGAGCTCTTATGAGGCCCAGACTGCCAGGGGGCCAGGGTGTCTGAGGCGCACACATTCCTCACTCTCTGGGAGTTGGGAGTGGAGGACCCTCCTCCCCTTCTCTATTCTATTGGGAAGCTTTCCACGACCCCATGTGGGATCAGAGACCTCTTCTGATCCACAGCCTCATCATCCTGTGTTGGTGGCACTCAACCATCTTTCTCTACCAGACTAGCAGCTCGGTGGAGGCAGGCACTGAGGAAGCGTGTGCTGAAGGCATCGCATGCAGGCAATCTGGAAGCCTGGGGCTTTTCCATCTATACAGAATGTACAGCCCAGGACACAAACCCTATTTACCCTCCAGCATTCTGCATACCTAGGAAAAGCAGTAATCATTGAAGCCTTGCTTCAGATCCTCCATTCATGCAGGAAGTGGGGCTCTGGTCTGTTCTAGTGCTGTCTAGCTGGGTGGCACTCCCACATCCTTTTCTCCAGGCATGTGAACTAGCTCTTGTGTCCTCTTTCTCTTGCCAAAGACAGTGGTATGGTACCAAGGAGAACAGAGCCAGGGGCCAGGAGGCCTGGGTTTTGGTCCCAGCTCTACCCCCCGAGCTGCTGCGTGGCTTTGAGTAAGCCACTCCCCCTCTCTGGGCCTCAGCGTCAACACCAGTTGAGGGGTTGGATCCCACTGCTCCCTGGGTCTGTTCCTGCTTTACTTCACTGCCATGAGCCATGTGTCTGGGGCTGGAGTTGGAGGAGAGTGCTGGCACCAGGCAGATGGTTCTGAGGACAGGTTCAGAGTCTGCAAGGCTGGGAGGGCACCTGCCTCTGTCCTGGGTCCCACCTCCTGGCCTGCTCCTCAGGAAACCCTGGGACACATGAACTTGGGCCTCAGCTTTGGCTCTGATCGTATTGTGATGCCATCTCTGGGCCAGGCCCTCATCTGTCTACATCACCTCACCTCATCTCCTGGTTTACGAAGCCCTTTGTATATGTCTCCTCATTTAGTTCTTACAATCACCCCTGAGGTTCAGAGAGGGACAGGATGGGCCCAGGTCACACAGCAGTCAGAGGACTATCAGGCCCAGCATTCTCCAGCAGCCCTGATATCTCCTCCTTGAAACAGGAAGAACACAGGATGTGCAGTGGGAATCCTGACCTTGCCCCCTGAGCAATACTGAGTAGGGGGGGTGGTACTCTCTCAGAACCACTTTGAGCCACCATGAAAATCTAACAGCATAAAGATGCCAAAAGCATAGGTGCCAGCCAGGGCAGCAGCCCGCTGGAACAGAAAGAGCACCACGCAGGGAGCCCCAGAGCCCAGGCTCCAGTTTTGGGTTTTCCCATCTGTCAAATGAGGGCAAGGATGCCTGCCCTGCCTCACCCACTGAAGGCCAGCTGTGCACTTGCCACACTTACCCCGTCCCACCTTCTACACAGCTGTCTGTGCCCACCACCTCAGCCAGGAGGAGTCACGAGCCCCTTCCCTATCTGCACACAGCTCAGCCTGGCTCACTGCACCAAAAAGGCAGGCCTGAGCATGGACCACACACAGAGGTATGTTCAGACAGACGTGCAGACACTCAGGCACATGCACACAGCGCATGTACTTGCAGATGGGCACCCGTGCATACAGCAAGGCACACACCACCCACTTGCACACTCAGGTGTGCGCCACATACTGAACATACTCAGACACGCATGTCATGCTGGACACACACTGCAGCACACAGACCGCATACCCACACATGCACAGTTGGCTTCATATGATGCTCACACACTGCAGACAAATATGCATAGATTTTCTTGCCTCTCCCATGACAGCCAGATGGTGGGATTCTCCCAGAGGGCTGCCATTTAATGCTCTAATTAATTTTTTAAAATTCTAGGTACCCAAAGCCTGGGTTTGTTCAATTGGTCCAGGCACGACCCAGTCTGAGGCCAAGGCGGGAAGCAGGACCTAGGACGAGGGTGTCCCACTATACCCAGGAGAGGCTTCCCCCTCACCTGGTGAGTAGATACCTAGCCTAGCAAGGGGCTGGGGTCACAGGCCCAGAATCTGAGCCTGATCCTGGTTCCAACAGTGCTCCTATGACCCAGGACAGGGAGAGACCCCTTCCCAGCAGCCCTGGCGGAGTGGTCTGGCCCCAGGTGCACACCTCAGGATGCAGGGCGCTCAGTCCCTGCGGAGGCTGCTGGCTCTCCTATCAGACTGCACTGCAGCGAGGCTTTCCTGACATGGAGGTGGGCTCGGGGCTGCACATCCAAATCCAAACACACCTTTGCTGAGCCCTACTGTGCAGGGCACACTTCAAGGCACTGTGGGAGGACAGCGCAGGGAACGGGATGTTCACAGAGCACAGAGCTACCAGAGAGTTAGTGCTGAGACAGTGCTCACCGCATCTCCAGGCAGTATGCTCCGAGCAGGCCAGAATTTCATTCTCACCCAGGTCTCCTGGGGAGCCCCACCTTATTCTCTAGGCCATGAGGATCCTGGGGGGTTCAGGCTAGCAGGAACCAAGCATCACTGGCCCTCCAGGTCTCTCCTCTGCCTTTCCTGGGGCACCGTCTTTGCTGCTAAATGTTTGGAAAAAGCAGCAATAAATTTACTGCCTCACTTATGAGCAATTTGCTGTCAGGAGCCATGTGTAAGCAGAGGGCTGAATTAACAAGGCTTAATTAACATTAATGTGACGGATCTCAAGTGAGTCGGGAAATCCCCCATCCTCACCGCCCGGACCTTGCCTGCTGATTCCCTGCTCATGTGGGAGGTGAGAGGCCCAAGGAGGGCTCTCAGAGCTGCTGACAGACGTGACTGGGGGCTGGAGGCTTGCAGGAGATCAGCACAGGAAGCCAGAGCCTCTGCAACTCCAATTCCAAAGGAGCTCTCACACTAAGTCCTTTATCCCTTGCCTGGTGCACTGGCTAACACGTGGACCTTGGAGTGCAAGAGACCCGCTTTTAAATCCTGCTGCTGCCACTCCTATGCTACGTGACCCTGGGTGTTTCCCCACCTCTCTGTGCCTCACCATCTCTATCAGTAAAGAGACAGGACAGATCCCCCCTCAGAGGGCTGTTAAAGGATCCATGGGCCGGGCACGGTGGCTCACACCTGTAATCCCAGCACTTTGGGAGGCTGAGACGGGCAGATCACCTGAGGTCAGGAGTTCGAGACCAGTCTGGCCAACATGATGAAACTCCATCTCTACTAAAAATACAAAAATTAGCTGGGCATGGTCGCAGGCGCCTGTAATGCCAGCTACTTGGGAGTCTAAGGCAAGAGAATCACTTGAACTCAGGAGGCGGAGGTTGCAGTGAGCCGAGACCATGCCATTGCACTCCAGGCTGGGCGACAGAGTGAGACTCCATCTTTAAAAAAAAAGAATTCATGAAGTCATGCATGGAGAGCAGAGGTGCTTCCCACCCCACTCCCCATAAGCATAAGCGTCATTGATGATAGTGCGTGGGGCTCATCATCTCATTTAATCTTCCCAGCCAACAGCCCTTTGAGGTAGGGCCTGCCAAGACGCCCCTGTGCAGAAGAGGAAACCAAGACACTGAGAGGGGAGGTGGCTCATCCAGCCCACATGCTGTGTGACGTTGGGGGAAGAGGCTCCAGTCACCCACTACAGTCACTGGCAGGAGCCCCTTGAAGGATCCAGAGAGCCACGGTGAGGGGAGAGGTCAGGCTGCGGGGCCATGCTGTGGACCAGTGTACCCTTGGACAGTGGGCATCTCGTCAGAGAGGCCAGGTCCCTGTTTTTCAATGACTAAGGCATTACTAAGCTGCCCCCTGAGGGCCCAGCCTGTGTCAGGCTCCGGGGATGAGATAAAGGTGGTGAAAGCTGTGCCCCTGCTCTCAGGATGGATTCCACCTCCGACTCCTCTCAGCTGTCCCCAGGGCACCCAGCCCAGCCCTGGCACGGGGCAGGCACACCTTCATTTATCATCAGTGATCGCCGTTATTCATATGAATGGGAGGATGCTTCTGAGCAGAACCAACTTTGAGCAGCAGCAGAAAGGAAGCCCAGCCCCACCCACCTACCCCGACGCTTCACCAGAGATGGGAGTCCCCACGCCCCCAGCCATAACCCTGCACGTCTCGGATCACTGGACTGACCTTTCCTGTCAGTTTAGCGGCCTTGAGCTCTGCCCCGGAGCATACCCACACCCTGGCCTTCAGGGGGACAGGAAGGGCTCTGGGCCCCAGGTTCACAGGTCTCACCTCTGGGACTACCCCAGTTGGAGTCTTGGTGTCAGGGATCCATTTGGAGACAGCATGGGGAGAGGGAAGAGACGGGCTGGGGCAGGGGCAGGGGCAGATTCCACCTCCAGAAAAGCCCTTGGGCCCCTCCTCAGCCTTGCCCCCTCCTGCCAAGCCCCCAGTATCCCCAAGCCCTGCCACAATCCCATGCTCCAGGAGGTCTTCCTCCAGCCCACCCCAGCCCACCTCCCACCCTCCTGACTCAGATGTTCTGTCTCCTGCTAAGCCGTGTGACCTGGAGGAAGTCATTTTTCTCCTCTGTAAATGGGGGATGAGAACTACCTGCCTTACAGGCTGATGTGAATGGAATGAGATGCTGCCTGGCACAGTGAGGGCTCCATATGTGACACCTATGATTACTGACAACCCAGAGGTTAGTGCAGTGGAGACCCAGCCGTGCAGGAGCCTGTGAGGAGCTGGGCTGGCTCAGAGGTCTCTGGTCTTTTCTGCGCTGCTCTGAGGACGCAGGATCAGCCAGGGTGTCTGTGTGGCCCCTGTGGCAAGCCTGGGAGCCATGGAGCCTCTCGGGAAGAACCAGAAAGAACTTCGTTTCTGAAAATCTTGGAACCAATTGTTGTATAAAGGAGTGAGGCCTCCATCCCAGGAGGTATGCAAGCAGGGGGATCCATTCATTCATTCAACAAGCATACAATGGGCCCCTCCTCTGTGCTGGGCCCTGTGATGGGCACTGGGGGGTTGGGAAAGAGTGCATGAAAGCCAGTCCTGCCTGAAGAAAGCCATACTATAAAGACACAGGAGATGACAAAGGTGCCAAATCGACCCCGGGTCATGCCTGCCCAGCCCTGCACATGCTTCAGAGCCCGGAGGAAATGCAGGAGGCCCTATGCCATGAAAAGGGGCTTGGGAAACATCCAGGGTAGCACAGTGAGGGCTGAGCTCCAGCCAGCAGATGCAAGACCCAGACCCCAGCCTGCTCTGAGCTGCCATGCCCTCCGGTATCCCGGGGGCCTCCCTGCCCTGGTCCACCCCCATCACAGCTCAGGGCCAGTCCCCAGGCCCCTGCCCACCCCCAACACCGAGTGAGGGGTGCGCAGGAGGAATCCATAGTTTACAGGGAGGGCCCTGCTGGCAGCAGGGTGTGAGGAGCGGGGAGGGGTAGCTGTCTCTGCCTGGACAGGGGCATGGGCACGGCCAGTCCCAGGCAGGTGGCGGGCTTACCCTTTGCCCACTTTCTTGTCCCCTGGCAGTTCCTGGGGTGTGGGCTCCAAGGAGGCCCAGCAGCCAGACCACCAGCTGCTTCCCCTCCCCACACAAGCCCTGGCCACAAAGCGCCCTCCCCCAACTCTGCCCGCCTGTGGTGACAGCCTCTTGGCACTAGCTCTCTCCTCCCTCCATCTGTCAGGAATCGGTGCAGACAGACTGTGAGAACCACAGAGGAAGGAGCGATACTGCGTGGACCCTCCCTGCCCCCAGCCTCCCCAGTGTGCTCCCCAGCCCACCCCATCTCTCTCTCCCTACTCCTCTGTCTCTGCCTTCTCTTCCATCTGTCTCCATCTCTCCCTACTGATGAAGACATCGACAGAGTGGGCATAGGGAGGGGAAGAGGACCAGCCAACCAGTGACCCCACTCGTAACCACCACACGCCACGGCCACAGCCCAGCCACCCATGTGGCTTCCCTTCTCCCCACCATTAAGGAGTCAGATGCTGTGGGACTATGGGCTCAGTGTCCCCATCTGTACAATGGGTGGAGTCATTCCTGCTGGCCCACCTCCCAAGGGCCACCATGAGCCTGGAGGCAACATGTGGGAAGGGCCTTGTCGACTGCAGAGACTCATACAAGGCACGTGGCCAGCGCCTCCAGCTTCTTTCTATTCATCATGAGAACAACGATCTCAGTGCTGCCCTCCACTTGGGAGGAGTGAGGCCAACATGGGACACAGACAGACAGCCACATGCCTGGAAGAATAGAAATGGCGGTGGTAACACAGGCAGGCCCATGAATGTTATGATTCTCACCACAGTCATACGAGGTGAGCAGGGCAGAGATGGGGAAACAGGCCAGGGAGGGAGGTCACACAGCTGGGCTAGAGGCAGTCTGTAACAGCGGCCAGGCCTCCTGGCCCTATCCACACAGCTCCCTACTCAGAATGTTTGGCCCTGCTCTTCCAGACCTTCCAAGATCCTCTGTTTCTTTCTTGAGTTCTCCCAAAAGGTGAGGAAGAAATCAGTCTTTTCTTTTGGCAGGCAGGGGTTGAGACAGGGTCTGGCTTCCTTACCCAGGCCAGAGTGCAGCGGCATGACTATAGCCCACTGCAACCTCAAACTCCTGGGCTCAAGCAATCCTCCTGCTTCAGCCTCCCAAGTAGCTATAGGCATGGACCATGACACCTGGCTAATTTTTTTTTTTTTTGAGAGACGGAGTCTCACTATGTTGCCCAGGCTGGCCTTGAACTCCCGGCCTTAAGTGATCCTCCCATCTCAGCCTCCCGAAAATTCTGGGATTATAGGTGTGAGCCACTGTGCCTGGCCTTTTTCTTTGTTTTTAATTAAGTGAGCCGTGCCCAGCTAGCAGATTCCACAAGGGATGGGGAGGACCTCCTGGGGACCTGAGAGAGCAGTGGCCAGGGCTTGGGGGCTCAGCTAGACTGGTCAAGTGTCCCAGTTTGCTCACAACTGAAGGGGTTCCTGAGATGCAGGATGTTGAGTTTTAAAACTGGGATAGTTCTGAGCAGCCGAGGAGCCGTGTTCAATTTATGCATGGCAAGCACATGGCAATGCTGACGTGCTGGGCAAATGAAGTGGGCGTTTTCGCTGAAAAGAGAGCAAAACCTCTGCTCACCCCTTGCTCCTGTGAAGCTTGGACCAGTGTTCCAGAGGCCCAGTGGAGGGCAAGTTCTGGTCTAGCTGCAGCCTCAGGGTCATGCGGGGCCATGTCTGATCCCAGCCACAGCATAGATGTACCCAAGGTAACAGGGAAGGGTCTTGGGTCCTCATCCCCTTCACAGCAGAGGAAGCTGAGGTTCAGAAAAGGTCACACATTAAGTTAGGGGCTGGTGCCCCCAGGGCGTGGCCTGCTTTCCCATCTGTAGATCCTCCCCAGGTTCTGGCAGGGCACCTGGCACAGAACAAACCCTCAGTGAATGTTGGAGCTGGGACCCAAAGGCTCCAGTCCACAGCAGGCGCTTCCCAGGGACTCACAGAAAACCACACCCAGTCATGTGCGGCAAGAGGGGCTGGAAACCTAGCAAGGGGTCAGGGGCACAGTGCACACTCGGAGCCCAGAGGCACCCTCCACCCCTCCTTCCTCCACCGTCCTCCACAGGTCCCTGTCCCCCTGAGGCTTGTGGACTGCATTGTGAACCACAGACTCTAAATCAGGACATCATGGTATAGAGTGTGGGGAAACACAAGGATGAGAGAGCCCAGAGGAGACTCTGACCCACCTAGGGGAGGAAGCACCCTGGAAATGGTGACTCCAGAGGTCAGGTGAGGCCGGACAAGCAGAGATGGAGCCTTCCAGGCTAGGGGCCTGCATGCAAAAGGGCCTGAGGCTTCTCTTGGAGGTGTGGCTGGACAGGAGACGCCTGGGGCTTGGGGTCAGTGCCAGGTGAGACCTGGAGAGGAGACAGGTACATGTCTGGTCTTGAAGGGCTCTGAATGTCAGTTAAGAAGACTTGGTCCTATGAGGGGTGGGCGTCACTGCAGAAGCTGAGCGAGGAAAGGGTGTAGCTTTGCATCTCTCAGAGCACTCAGCTGCAGAGCGAAGATGGGTTTGGAGGACAGAACAGAAACTAGGCAGGGGCTGCTGCTGAGATCCAGGAAGGGCATGGCAGTGGGTGGCAGGGGCGGGGGAGGCCCAGGCTGGCAGGTAGGCAGGGTGAGTGTCGGGACCTTCTTCCTTCCCCTATTCAAGGTGAGGCCTTGGGGGAAGGAAGAGAGGGGTTGTGATGACTCCCAGGTTCCTGCCCAAGGCCCAGGCAATGCCTGCACTCCGGCCTAGTCCAAGAGGCAGAAGACGTTCAGCCACAGCCCCCCAGTGCTATGTGCTGTGCCACAGTCATTGCAGGATCTGGGCGCTGCTGCCCTGCTACCCAGGAGAGCAAGCTGTCCATAACGATACCTTTGCCTCCAGGCACGGCATTTCTGTCCTCACCCTCCACTTCTCAAAGCCCTGGGAGGCAAGTCACAGGATGCAGCTAACATTTATAGAGCCTGCGAATGTGCACGCCACCAGGCCCCATGCTAGGGGAGCCAAAGCAGCAATGGCCCCAGAGAGGATGGTCCTTATCTGAGCCCACACCACAAGTCAGCTGTCACAGGCTGGACTTCCCTAAGCATGGGGGCTGTGGCAAGAATGCAGGTAGGAAGGGACATGGGGCAGGCTTGCCGTGAAGGTGGGGGCAGACTCTGTAAGCAGAGGCCCCATTAACAGAGCTGGGATCAGAGAGGGCAGGAGAGCTGCAGGAGACAGATCTGGGATTGACAGAAGAGCAGGTTTTCTAACAGGAAGAGCAGTCCAGGGGCGGGGAGCTGCTTCGTCAGTGGGTGAGCGCCCAGTCCCCGGACGCATTGGACCCCCTGACCTCCACCCCACTAGGCTGCTGAGGAAACTCCTGCACTGGGATGGAAGGGGGAGGCCGCTTTGGCCTAATGAAGATGCTGCCCACAGCTCACACATCCATTCACTCAACACCTTCACCAGGGCCTGCTCTGAGCCACGCTGGGGACAGTGGGCACCTGGGCTGGGTGGAGCAGAACCAGATAAGCCTCCTCTGTCACCCTTCTCCATCCTGATCTGGGAGGTGAGGCCAGAGCCCAGGGGGAGTAGGAGATAGAAGCATGGGTCCCTTCAGCCCTGGCTGACCATGCACCATGTCACAGGCCTGTGTCCTGGCCACTAAAGGACCAAGTGTCCATAACTTCCTAGGCATATTTAGGGCACAAAGCCAGGGGCCAGGCAGGGCCAACCATAATGTAATCTCCTTCTGCACCCCACCCCTCCTGAAGGTCCCTAAGGCTCTGGGCTCATTTCCTAATGAGGTCCCTAGAAGGCCTCTCCCTAATTAAACTGGGCCAGCAAGTGACAGCCTGGAGCGGCAGGGGAGAAAGGGAGATAAAGGAGTCTTTCTGGGGGCTCCCTGGCTCCTCCTACTCCACCCCGCAGTGCAGCAGCCCAGTAAGGATGGGGATTCCTGAAGGACAGATGGGAGAGGGAGGTTCAGAGAAGGAGGTCAAAAGAAGCCCAGGCAATCTTGAATTGAGCACTGCGCATGCACCATGCACTGCTCTTAGTGTGCCTCAGAAGTTAACTCACCTGTCAATCCCACAACCACCTTGAGGGGCGGCTCCATCCTCCAGATGAGGCAGGTGCTCAGAGAGGTGAAGTCATTTGCTTAGGGCCCCACATCTGGGAAGTGGTGAGGTGTGGACTTGACCCCAGGCGGCCTGGTAGGGCCCTGCTGTTATCCATGTCGTGATAGATCCTCTCCTGGATGAGGTAGGGGCCCGTCCTGGGGACTTGCACATCTACACCTCCCAGCTGGCTTCGCACCAAATGGGCCTGGAAGGGGCTGGGGCAGAATTTAAAAAGCTGCCCCAAGTGACACAAACCACTGATCTAATCCTCAGTCTCTCAGAGCCCCAGAGCAGGAATACACCCAGATCACATGGCATGTTGGGGACAAGGTGAGGCTGACAGCCTGGAGGGCAGCCAGCCAGGTAGGTCAGTTAGCCAGCAGCAACAAGGGATCAGGCCTCTGTCACAGAGGGGAGACATCAGCACAGGATCTTCAAGGGTGGGAGAGACCAAGGGCCAGAGGGGAGGGCAAGGCATGGTGGGGGAGGTGGCAGAGAGAACAGGGGCTCAAGCCACATGGGCTGCCAGACCACTCTGCCCTGGTTTGCTTGGTCCAATTCAGTGGTGTAAGAAGAACCGACTGGCTCATGGAACTCACACACTGAGGGCCAAGGAGGTTTCTGCTACTTTACATAGGCCAGGAATTATTTATTACCCATGTTGTTCAGAGCGGGAGTCTGGGGTTCCATTCAAGGGACTTGCCCCGGGGCCTCCCAACCAGGAAGTGGGAGAGCTGCAGCTGGAAGCCAGGTCTGGCTGCTGCTGGAGAGGCCACGCTGGCCTGATGTACCACTTGGCCCCTACAGTAGGCAGTAGAGGCAGGCTGGGAATGGGGAGGGGAGGGAGACAAAAGAGTGTTGCATAGGCAGCTGATGTAGAGTCTGCTCTCACTGGCTCATAGGTATTAAAAAATCAGCCCCGTCAGAGCTCAGCACAAAAATAAGTAGGTGTAAAAAGCCTCCAGTAGATGTAGGCTCTGCTAATAAACAGTTGTGTGGTTTAGGCCATGTCTCCTGTTGGGGCCCCATGGGGTTGGATTTCACAGCCCCTGCCCCCATGCTTCCAGCCCTGGGCCTCAGAGAACAGGGCCAGCTCCTTGGAGCACCCTGTACCTGGGGCCTGGCCATGGCAGACTCCCACCATGTGAATCCCTGACTCTTAGGGGAAA
Organism: Homo sapiens; assembly: GCF_000001405.40. Lineage (NCBI taxonomy): Eukaryota > Metazoa > Chordata > Mammalia > Primates > Hominidae > Homo > Homo sapiens. The sequence goes on from NC_000001.11 coordinate 53,316,654, forward strand.
ACAAAAGAATTCCACAGAATGGGATTGAGAGGGGCTGGAGATGCCCTACTCCCAAGGGGCAGAGACCCCAAGAGGGGCAAGCATCTGCCAAATGGCCACTCGGCAAGGTGGGAGCAGAGGAGGAAGGCTGCTGTTTATAACAAGCAGCCCTCTCCGGGTGGGACCAGAGCACACATGGCCTGGGGAGGAGAGGCTGCTGTGGCAGGGGGCAGGCCAGGAAGAGAGACTGCTGGCGCCTCTCCAGCTACAAATCATTCCCCACCACGACGGCCTGGTGGGGAGGCGGGGAGCTCTGGCTTGGTTTGGGCAGACTTAGCGGGTATGGGAGAAGAGTGTCATCTTGGCCCCATAGCCTCCACGGGTCCAGAATAGTCACCTCCCTCCTGGTACACAGCCCCTCCTCTGAAGCACACACCCCAAGCACACGCACATGTGCCCATGCCCATGGCCGAGAAAGGGCTCTGAGAGTGTAGGGCAGCAGATGGCGGCTCAGGGTCCAGGAAGTGGGGGAGGGAGGGAGGGGAGGAGTGCTGGCTTGAATGTCCCTGGATTCAGGCCACCAGGAAAGCCCACCCTTGGCCTCCAGCTATTCAGTCGGGCAGCTTAACCTGGGCCTGATGGGACCTTCCTGCCTCTCATCAGCTGCCAAGTCTCTGATGTTAGCCTGGACCCACTGGGGAACCAAGGCCCCACGTGGCTAACTACCGTGGCAGGCCCGGCTGGCTAACCAGCCCCACTGGGCCACTCAGGAAGCAGCCACCCTGGGGCCCCAGCGCAGATGGGGTGGGATGAGATGGCTCCGACAGTCCCTCCCAGCCCGAGGAGCTGCTGTTCTCTCAGGCAGCCAAGTCCTCCCAACTGGCCAGTTGACCTAAATCTCTCCTGCTGCTATTTTGCTGCTGCCCTCTTGTTGTGTCCTTGGTGGAGGAGGAGGAAAGCTGAGGACGGTTCCTTTTACTCAGCCATTCCCTGTGCAGGAATCACAGGCTCAGGAAGGGAAGGGAAACGCTCATTTTCAGGGCCAGGCTCTGGGCAAAGTACTTTCCTCAGCCCGCACACCTCCGGAATATGGGCTCATTTTCCCGCTTTCGGAAAGTCTCATGAAGCTGGTGGGCCTCACTCCATTTTTCTCCATCACTGCACTGCATCCGGCCCAATTGTGAGTGCAGGAAGAAGGCAGAAGGGAAAGTCACCCAAGGAACCTGGGCCTCAGGGTGGAGCTCTGGAAGTGGAGCTAAGGAGTCCAGCTGCCCTGTTTCCCTGCCCAGAATCCAGCCCACCAAGCCAGCTATACTCCCCGCACTGTCACCAGGTAGTAAGGCACAGATCCCTGCCCTAGGCAAGGACTGGCCAGCTCCAGCCCTGAACCCAGCTCCAGGCACAGGAGTCTGCTCCAAGTGCTGGGGGCAGTGCAGGTGGAATAAGGACCAATGAGTGAAAGGAAAATGAAGTTCAGAGAGGGAGAGCCATTCACCCAAGGTCACACAGCAAGTTAGGGGCATAGATAGAAGAATTAGAACGCTGCGGAGGAGATGCCTTCTACCAATATCCTGAGAAGAATGAAGGAACAGTTTTGTACTCTTCTGCTTTTTTTTTTTTTTGGTGGGGGTGAAAGCCCTTGGGGCCAGAACACCGCTCGTTGTTCTCTCTCCTGGCTTTGCTTTCTGTGGCCTGGATATGGCTGCTTTGTCCCATGGGACCAGAATGAGGTGGCCCTGTGCTCAGAGAAGAGGGAAGTCCTTCAGCTGCCTGCCTCGCTGGAAAGGAGAGCCATGGGGCCATAGAGGGAGAGAGTTGTGAGATGGGAAAGATTCTCCCCTCTAGAGAGCAGAACGGCAATGATGAAAATGCACACACTCAGCAGCTCCTTTCCTAAGAACTTATCTTAAAGAAAGGACCAAGCAAATGCACAAGGATGGAGTTCAAGGATGTCCATCCTAGCATTGCACAGAGCAGGGAAAAACATGGAAGCAACCAAACACACATCTATCAACGGGAGAAAATGTCATTAAATTATGGAAGATCCACACAATACAATACTATCTAGCCCTTTAAAACAAGGATGTGAACTACTGTTATTGCCATAGAAAGCCATATGTGAAAACAACCGGCATAACATGGCCTCATTTTTGTTAAAAAAAAAAAATACATATGTTCATGCCCAAGAGCTCACATGCAGAGAAAAATCTCTAGAAGGCTATGCTGCTTACATAGTGGTACTAGCAAGGGTGAGAACTACCTTCGTCCAAGCTGGAGTGCAGTGGTGTGATCTCGGCTCACTGCAACCTTCGTTTCCTGTTCTTTATTAACTATGTTTTTCATTACAAGTGTAAAGTTACTTTCAGCTAACCAGAAGTTACTTACCCTGGAAAACTAAATAAGTAAAATCAGTTGAAGTGAGTTTTAGCTCCAGAACTACCAATAACTGGGTGAGTCTCTTATCCTCTCTGAGCCTCGTTTTCCTCATCAAGGAATGGGGATCATAATGAACTCCTGCACCGCCTGCCTCCCAGGAGCACACCTGTGAGGCACCAACTGGAAAAGCCATCCAAGGATTACGGCAGGTTGAGAGGGCTGGAAACTAAGATGCCCTCCAGAGTGGCTGGGATGAAGTCCCCTGTGGTACCTCAAGGCCAGTGACCAGGGGAGGATGGGGGCCAAATGACCACTCCCGTGGACTCCTAGACAGACTGGCAGACAGCTTTGGGGTGTCTGTCCTGCCACATGCCACGTTCCAAGGGGCAGGCGTGTAGAGGCCATGAGGGGTCATGGGAACTGTGTGCACCACATGAGCCCCACAGCCCTGGGCTCGCTGGGTGACTCTCAGTTTCCCAAGGACACTCCATGGCGCCTGAGAGCATGCCGCATTCTATGCCCCCAAAGCAGCTAGGCCCGGCTCTCCCATTGTGGGTACCTAGGCTGGGCCCCACCAGAGACAAAGAGGTCAGAGCGGGTACAGTCAGTGAGGAACTCGGTCAAGACTGAGCAGGATTCCCCTGAAGGCCCTCAGCCCCTCCCCTGCCACTCCGGCTGCGGGGTGATTACTGGAGTCTATGACATATGGCAGCTTGTGAGAGGAGCTGGGGTGAGCAGGGCTGATAATTAAAACCGCTGCCGGGGGACCCAGCTCATGCTGGAGGGCGCCCAAGGGGCTGGGCTGCTCAGGAGGGAGTTGGCACACCCACTAGCAGGTGCTGGCAAAGAGGGACGCCTGGAAAGGAAGAGAGGCCCCAGCACAGCCTGCAAGCCACACTTTACTGTCATCGTGACTGGGATGTGTGAATGCATATCTCCTTTCAGCTGCCTCAGACCTGCAGCCAGACAGGCATGGCCCAGTCCTGCCACTGACCAGCGGGGCCACCCGGGGCAAGTGACTTCATCTCTCAGAGTCTTGGTTCTCTCCTCTGCGAAATGCAGTCATGATACCTCAAGGCACCGGCTGAAGGAGGTCTTGCATGAGAAAGCCCCTCACTAGCTCGCTCCCTAACTCTTCTTAGTGTTAACGTGAGTATTTTAGATGACTTCTTGGCAATCCAGAAGTGGGCAAGCAGGGCCCAGTGGGGCCAGTGGTGCACCTGAGGTCCCCAGTCAGGAGCCCAAAGCCCTTCGGTACTGCAAAAGGCTTGTGTCCACCCCTCAGCCTGAGAGCACCCTGTTCCCGGATCCAGCAGGGAACAAAGAGGGTGGGGGTGGGAGGGGGAAGCACATACAGTTCTGACTCCAGTCCCACCCAGAATTGAGGACACCTGAGTTCTGAGAATGGTGCCCTACTGACGATGGAGCCAATTCGACCATCAGGGCCTTAGTTTCACCTTTCTAAGCCTGGGTGCGAGGAGGCAGCCAGGCCCCGTGTTACTACAGAGAGTAAAAGAGATGACCCTGGGCTGACACTCCCTGAGGTCATGTGCATCACTATCATCAGGTTCTCAGTTTCCCCTTCCATACAGTCAGAAGAAGAATCAGCATCTAACAGGCAAAGGCTGAGAGAAGCCTATGAAAACTGGAATGTCATCCCCATGGGAGCTGGAAAAGGCCTATGTGAGGGCTCTGCGGGGTCTCCAGAGAACAGGGTCCCTCCCCAGTCCCACTCCCCAGGTCAGAAACTGGTAGCTCAGGGAGGCACTGCTGAGTCCTGCAGCTGCTCCCTACTTCCTCCCACACCCTCCAAGCACCAGCCTCTGACCCCACCAGGGTAGACAGCGCTCAGCGGGGAACGGCTTAAGAAGAGTCTGGGCTCCAGACCAGACAGACCTGGGTCAGCTCCTGGCTCCACCACTTAATGGTCATGACATTGGCCAAGTTCCGTCTCCTTTCTGAGCCTCAGTTTCATCATCTTCGAAATGAGAACGAAAAACTAGCCCTCCCAGGGTTGTGAGTAGTGAAGTTAAAGGATGTGAATTGTCCAACGTGGTCCCAGGCATGGGATATAGGCAGCCAATAGCTGTTATTAGCTACCCCTTGAGGAAACGACTTTGGAATTCCTACTGCCCAGCACAAGGCTGGCGGAGTGCACAATGTTGAGAAGGATCTGCAACTGCGGGAAGAAAAAGGACACGTTGTGGGAGCTCAGGGCCTGAGGGGCTGGAGGACAGGGGTCTAGAAAGGCATCTCTGGAGGAAGTGGCATCCCTGCCAGGCCTTCAGAGCCTGGGTGATCTGGATGTGTGGGCATTTGGGGGGCAGGTGCTACCAACGTTACTTAGGCCTGGGGCTGCAAGGCCTGGCTCCACAACCCTAAGGACACAACCCCACACCCTCCCACAGACCCCAGTGCTGGCCCCCTGGGACAGCATGGGCCTGGGAGTAGACCACTAACCTGGTGCTGGGAGAGCATGCATGCATTTACTTCCTTCAAGGGCGTGCCTGTTCCATCCGCCCTCTGGGCTCTCGCTCCTCACTGCCCCCTGGGGGTCTCTCTCTCTCTGGCTTCACCTGCTACCAGCATTTCCCCAAGGAGGAAAGTTGTCAAGTCGGCCACCAGCAGACAACTGGGGAGGAAGAAGCCAACCATCCCTGAGGCCCAAGGGACTCACACCGGGGAATGCTGACCTGGGAGGGCCCAAGGGAAAGTCTTCAGCAAACACTCCCAAGGCCTGCTAGGGCCTGCTGGGCAGTGCCATGGGGGATGCAGGCCCTCCTCTCCTCCCCAGGCACAGCCAAGAGGAAAGGAGCAGACAGGACAGAAGCCAGCCTCTAGGACCAGCACACAGCCAGAGGGAAGCCATCCGCTGCCCCTCCTAGGGCCCTAGGCCTGTTTGACTCATTTCTTCCCCCAGCTCCTTTCCAAGCAGCTTTCTGTCACCTCTACGGTGGCTGGGCAACTCCCTGGCTGAGGCGAGCACCAGCTGCAGGAACCTCGACATCTGGCTAAGCAGACAGGAGCAGGGGAAGCAAGGGGTCCGGGTTGGCCTGCAAAGACCAGACGTCAGGTACCTAGAGACCTCAGTGAAACCCCTCCCACCAAGAACAACCTCACCCACTGCCATTCACTGAACACCTCCTGCTTACCAGGCATGTGACCTCATTTAATCCTCACATTTAATCTCCGAAAAGGAGGGCCTAGTATCATCCTCACAACCATTCATCCAGGAGGCGACAGCTGGGATGTAAAAACCAGGTGTGTCTGAGTTGTGACTTTGACATGGGTCTCTAAGTAACTCAAATCCTGTATCTCAGCCTGGAGGCAATGGGGTGTCAGGGAAGGCTTCCTAGAGGAGGTGACACCTGCACCGGATCTCTTAGGATGATAAAATGAATCCAGCCAGTGAGGGAGCAGGGTGTCCGGCAGGAGGAATAGCACACACAAAGGCCTGGAGGTGAGAAGCAGCAGGAGGGTGAGAGTGTGGCAGAAGCTAATTTGGTGTCACAGGCTCACAGGAAGAGGCGGGAAGAGGTTGCAGGGAAGTGGGTAACAGGAGCAGGTCACAGAGGGCCAAATACAGAGGAGTCTACACTGACTTTATTCTCTGGATAGTTGGGAGCCCCAGGAGGACTCTGGATGGTGGAGTTGCCCGGTCAGGTGAAGACGGGGAGGTTCAGAAAGGAGCCACACTGTCGTCAGATGGCTCCATCCACGAAGGAGATGAGGCTGGGTCCAGTGTCAGGAGCACACGTCCAGGCCGCACACTGAGGGCCAGATGCGGGCTACAGCACAGGCAGGGAGCTGTGGCCGAGCTTTAATTATTTATGAGGCTGTTTCCCAGCAAGACTCAGCACTCCTGCAGCCTGGCCTTGCCCAGCTAATGAACTCTCAGCCATGGGAGACCTCCCTGTGGCCACTCTTTATTAAACCTGGGATGGAGGGGTGATGGGTGCTGGGATAACAAAAGAGTCCAAAGAAGCCTGAACAAAGTCGAGGTCAGTGAGCACAAAACTGGTCCACCTGTCTACCCAGCCTTTCCGCGAGAAGCACAGAACTTCCTAGAGGAGGAAGCGAGGTGGAGTAGCCTTAAGATGTCATCTCAAGACAGGGAAATGAAGGCCTGGGAAGGACCTACCTAAGTCACCAGCCAGTACTTGAGACAGTACAAGTTCCATAGCTGGTCACCCGCATTCACACCCCAGCAGTTCTACACCCTTGGGCCAGTTACGTAACCCGTCTGTGCCTCGATGAGATAGGACTATTTCAGGTACTTCATAGTGTTGCCCCATTTTATAGAATAGAGGAACGAGGGGCGATGTGTGGACAATCTCAGCACGATGCCCGGTCCACAGCAAGTGCCCAGACAGCGTTCATCGGCGCTATGGTTACTGTTGTGACTCTGGGAGTAAAGGCCAGGCCAGAGACCGGAATCTCTGCCTCTGCCCCCAGACACTAGGGAGCAACAGGAAACTGAGGCCCAGGGGCCAGCTGGCCTACGTGACCCAGGCCCACAGCCAGGAATCCCACCCGACTTCCCCTGGCTGGGCTTCCTTGGGCCTGGCTCTCTAGCTTCCAGCTCCTTCCTCCACTTTGAAGGTTCTTTGAGCTGAGAACTAAAGCCCCAGGAGCTTTTCCCTCTTCCATCCCGCAAGCTCCATCTGTGTCTCCAAAGAGCCAAGTCCCAGCCACTGTGGATGAGGCTCGGGACTTAGAAGGCCTCAGTTTGAGTTCCAGCTCCAACCCTGAGGAGCTCTGTGACTTTGGGGGAGTCACTTCACCTCTCCAAGCCTATGTCCTCTATAATATAGGAACAATACCACCTGTTTTTAAATGGTAAACTCTGGGGGAATGCTATTAGTTACCATCTTTCAGGCCTAGTTCAGCAGTCTCCTCCTCCAGGAAGCCTTTCTTGGCTTCCTTAAAAGTTCCCTCCTTCCAGCCTCTTGGTATTCAGGGGCTGCATTCTGGCCCCTTTGGGAACTTGGACTCATTTTGCCTCACGCAGACTCTATCTACAAATTCCAACCCCCATTTTGCAGGCCCAGAGATGTACAAAGGTGGGGCAGCTCAAGCCCTCTTGCAGGGTGGTGTGCCAAAGAGGGTGGTCAGGGGTAAGGCACGGAGACTGCTCAGGGAGGAGCAGATTTTGTTATCCCAGCACCTATCACCCCTCCATCCCAGGTTTAATAAAGAGCTCCTCAGGGACGAGCCAACAGCTCTCTCTCCTGCAGGGAGAACAGTTCAAAGAAATTCAGTCTGGGCAGGTGGCCTAGAATGCGGGAAGGGCTGAGGAAAGAACATTTTCCAGCACCTGGCCCCAACACAGCCACGTAAGCCCCACTCCGTTTCTTCAGTTTCCCTTTATGGCTACCAGGAGTCCGTTTCTAAAGGCCGTGGAGGTGGGAACACTCATCCATCCGTTCCCTTCTTGCCAGCCCTGTGTGTCTATGTGCACAGCCAGCGTTGGAGGGACAGCTGCCCCTGTTTGGCAGATGAGGAAACAAGCTCAGAAAAGCCAAGCCATGTGTGATTACTACTTGGTACTATCAGCAGCGCCGCCACCCTTTCCACTCCAAGCTTGACGTCATTCACTTTTGTTTAATAACTCCCTGCCTATGACTCTACCCCATGCATCTCAGAGCCATGCAGGAGCCCAGCTTGGCCATTGGAGCTCTCTTGGCCCACCTGAGCGTCACTCAGCACCCAGCTACTTTACTCCTCCATCTCGTCCAAAGCCTCACATGGAGCTGAAACGCACCAGGCCTAACATTTAAAGCCCGTCTTTCCAGCTCCTAGATCACACTCCTGGTGCTTTCCGCACCACACTCCCCACCTCAGCAGACAGTGCCCTGAACTCGAGGCAGGCAGAGATCCTGACCAAGTTCTGTCATCCTGAGCTGTGTGACCTTGCATAAGTCACTCAACTTCTCTGAGGAGGCATCCTTATCTAGAAAGTAGAATGACAAGAAAATTTCTGCTTTTCACAGCCATCCTCACAAGGACAGTTGTTATAAAGAGCCAGGGAGATAAGGCATAACCAGCCCAGACACGCAGTTTCTATTCCTTGCCTCGTCCTCAGTACTCCCACTCTAAGGAGACCACAGAACAACTCCCAGTGAGGAAACTCACTGCAATATTTTACCAAGGCACAGCCATTTTCATAACCTCAACAGCACTGGGAAATGGTCCAGGGTCATGATTAGACTAAGAACTCTAGAGTTAGATGCTTAAGTTCAGGCTCCTACTTAACAACTCAGTAGCTGCTAAGCAGGTAACTTCACAGTTCAGTGCCTCAGTTTTTGTTGGTTTGTTTGTTTTGTTTTTTAATCTCTAAAATAGGACTGTTATGAAGATTAAAGGAGTTTATACAAGATAAGTACTTACTGCAGTGCTTGGCACAGTTAATGGTCAGCACACATTAGTCTCATTACTTCCAATTTCGCTTCTAGAACTGGTCCTCAAAACAGTCCAATGATGTTGCTGGGGCAGGAATTATGTGAACCCAAGTGGTCAGGTGAGGAAACTGAGGCAGGAGGGAAAGATGTGCTAGAGACATAGACTCAGTCAGTCTAGTTCTGCCACGCACAAGACACAAAGCCAACTTTGGGTTAGGTCTGAAAGTGAACGGGAGGGTGACTGGCAAACAGTCAAAAACCAAAACGATTCAACAGAGAGGGTGCCTGTCCAAGTGTCCCGTGACCCTTCCTGTGCAGTGTGGGGCTGTGGGCCTGTCCACCTGTCGCCCTCCTCCCTCAGACCCCGTCAGTGCTCCCTGGCTGGCAGGGCTGGCCTGTCTTGGAGGGCGCCCCAGCGCCTGGCACGCAGCAGATGCTCCCGAATGATGAATGAATGACTGCCCGGGTCTATGTCTCTAGGAGAGCCCTGTTTTTCTGTTCCCGGAGCTACATTTCTTCCACCGTGACAACTGCCTGCTAACTAGCTCCCGGTCCCGCAGACACTCTGAAACCCTGTGCACTCTGAGAAGAAACTTCTAAATCAGTCGCGCACGCCCAGCAAAGGCGGCCGGCAGCCGTTTCACGCGTGGCCTCGGGCTTCTCGGGCCCCTTCCAGGAAACAAACTCTCCCTCCTGGTACCCTCCTTCCTGGTGTGCCACATGACTCAGAGCCGGGCAGGGCTAGCAGGAAAGCGCGGTCTGCTAACCAGGGTGGCTCAAAAAGGTCTTCACTGTGACTCGGCAGAAAAGCGGCGCCCGAGCCCCGCCTGCACCTACCACCCTAAGGATATGCGCGGGGGTGTGGCCGGGGCGGGGCCGGGGCAGGGCAGGGCGGTGCCCCCGCGCCCAGGGAACCCGAATACTACACATCCGTCTGCTCCGCGATTGGCCGCTCCGGCCACGGGGGCCTATGGGGTGGTCCTCGCCCAGCCAATCAGGGGCCCTGGGGAGCCCATTCATTCACAAAAACTGAGCAGGAAAAGGAGCGCAGTGCGGCCCGGAGCTGCGTGGAACTTTGAAACACGCGCGCGTCCCGCGGGGCCGAGGCAAGAGTCCGAGAGGGCCGTGTTTCGGGAAGCTAGACCTTTGCAGGGACTGCCGCGTCCCCGCCCACAGCTCCGGTTCAGTCTCCCCAGCATGGTGCGCCTTCCTCCTCCGGCACACTGCCCGGGGCTCCGCCCCGGCCCCACCAGGACACGCCAGCTTTCCTGCCCGCTCCGGGTCGCTAAGAGCCACCCGGCCCCGAGGGAGGCGGTGCCCAGGCGGTTTCCCGGTCGCAGGCTCCGGCGGCAAGTCCCGCGCAGGTGGCAGCGCGGCGGCTGCAGCCACGTGCGCGCCAAGCATGGTGCCCCCCACCGTTCCTTTTCTCTCCCCGGGTCTGAGCTCCCTGGCCCGCCACTCACGGCAGTCGTCCTCGTCGCTGTGGTCTAAGCAGTCATCGTCCTCGTCGCATCTCCACACAGAGGGGATGCAGCGCTCGTTCCGGCACTGGAATTGGTCCTTTTCGCAATCCTTGGCCGGCCCTGCGAGGGGGAGGGAGCGTGAGCTGGATCAGCGGACTCGGCCCCACTCCCCACCATGCAGTCCGGGCCACCCGGAAGGACCCGCTGGGGAGGAGGAAAGGGGGCGATTATGGAGACCCCGGGGGCTTCAGGCACACTCCATCCAAAGGGAGGGCACGATGGCAGGGGTTCCGTGGATGTCGGGCCGCTCGGTGGCACGGCGAGACCAGGCACCTACTTAAAGTGTCACACGACCTGGGTATACCCTCCATTCAGACGCACTCACCCGCACACGCGACCCATAGTCAGAGATCTGCTCAGATACAGCCCATAGGGAGTCCCCGCGCCCGCGCGCCAGGCGCAGTGGGAGCCGCAGGCACATCACCCTGGCAGGCAGCCCCCTCTCTCTCCGCCGCGCGCAGGGGTCTGCGGAAACGCATTGTCAAGCGGAGAAGCCGCCCGGCTCTGCTCATTACCGCCGCGGAGCGCGCGTGTCAAATAAACCCCAACGGCGAGAATCACACAGCTCATCCGGAACCATGAATGGCCGCCCCTCCGGCAAAGTTCCCCGCTGGCCAAGCCCCCCTGCACCCCTCCCCCAAGATCCGCTGCCCAGAGGGCAGAGCCCTCAACACCGAGGCCCGCGGGGGCGGGGGGCCGAGGGCAAATTCAGGAATAGCCGCTTCGCGTGGAGCCTGTCCGCCCGGGAGCCCCCGATAGCCCCGGGTTCTGGACCCCTCCCCGCTCCGGCCTCCCGGCCGCGCTTTGTTGGTGGCTAGGGCGGAGCAGAGCCGAGTCAGAGACCGGCTGCACGCACCTTGGCCGCCGAGCAGCGGATCAGCCGCTGCCGCCGCAAGATGCTGGAGCTGCAGCAGCAGCAGCAGCAGCAGCAGCAGCAGCAGCGCCAGAAGCCGGAGAGGGCCCGGCTCGGGGAGGCCCATGGCGGGCCCGGGGCTCCGGCCGCCGCGCCCCGCGCTCCCCGCGCCGCCGCCGCCGCGTCTCAGCCCTCCGAGTCCTTGCCGCGGCGCCGGGGTTGCCGCTGCCCCCGCCGCCGCCGCCGCCGCCGCTGCCGCCCGCCCCGGCTCCTCGGCTGCATTTCAAGCAGGTTCGGTGACGCTCGGCGGCGGGGCGGGCTCAGGCTGGGCGCGCGGCCCCGGCCCTGGGCGGCCGCCGCCAGCGCGCGCGCTCCCTCCCGCTGCCGCCTCCGCCCCACGCTCCCCCTGCCGCCGCCTCCTCGCCCTCCTCCCTCCTGTCTTTCGTCCACTCTTCTCTCAGCGGGCGCTCCACGGCCCTGCTCTGGGCTCGCCTGAGTGCTGGGCTCTGCAGACGCAGGGATGGGCCAGGCGAGCCCCTCACCACGGAGGTAGCAGGTCCAGAGGAAGCAGCAGAGGCTTCCTGGAGGAGGTGACAGGCGGATCAGAGGCTGAGGGATGTCTAGGAGTGAGCCTGGGCGGGAGGGGAAATGATGTTACAGGACGAACAGGCCTGTGCAGTGTGCGCGTGGGGCGGGGGAGGGAGGGATAGGGGTGAGATCCCAAGATGTGGATGAGCAGGGAGAAGCTGGGGGCGCAGGGCTGGACCCCTGCACCTGTCATGGGCTCCGGCTGGGATATTATAAATCCCTGTGGCTGGTTTGGTTTCCGTGCCATGTGCATCTGTGCATGTTGCACGCTCATGTGATCATGGGGACGTGAGGCAGGTGGATTGGGCCTGGTGCACAGACTATTCATCGTCGTTAAGTACGCTCCAGGCCCCTAGTCAGAGGGGCAACCAGGGGGGGCCCGCAGGGAAGACAAGGAATCCTCGCTGTGATGGAGAAAGACGAGGTCTGTGGGGCGGGCCGGGCGGGGGGGAAGGGGAGGGCACGGAAGGGATGCCATCCCTGCCGCTAGGGGCCGCGCACCTAGGCCCGCGCTGTCCGCCCCTGCTGTCTTCTGCAGGAAGGAGAAGGCACCTCTTCCTCTGGAGGGCTGCAGCCCGCCTCACCCACACTGGGGAGAATGGGTGCGGAGAGCGAGCTGGGATTCGATTTCAGCCTCAGACTTGTGAGCCGGGTCCAACCCACACAACCTTCTTTAGAGAATGAGATTCCAGGGCATTGGCCACTCAAAACAACCGGCCTGCAGGTGCCAAGAGCCAGTGTTAGGTCCACCCTCCCTCCCCTCTTGCCCCTTCACCTCCCTCGCGGATGGGCAGGTGCTGTTAGCCCTTGGCCTGGAAACCACCCTGTCTCCTCAGCAGCCTCCTGAGCCGTAGTCCCCCAAAGGGCAGCCCAGCGGCAATATCTGTGGCCACCCCACCAGAAAGGGACTTAGATCCCCAGAGAGCCCGGCACGGTGCTCCTGCCATCATCACCCCTCCTGTCCCTTGTTCATTCAGTCATTCAGCAAGCATTTCAGGCCCTGTTCTGTGCCAACCCTGTGCTGGGCCTGCGGGTACCAAGGTGAATCAGGCATGGTGCCAGCCCCGGAGAGGTCCCTGACCTGTGGGGAGACAGACCATTAGCACACAGACAACGAAATGCAGGCGTCCTTTCACCTATATGTGCCAAACGCCCTTCAAGGCTCAAGGATACAGTGGAAACAGATAAGGTTCCTCCCTGCTCTCCTGCAGTTATGTCTTAGTTGGAAGAGATACACACAAAAGCAGGAAAACAAAAGATTATTTCAGGTCATCATAACTTCTATGGAAAAAACAAAACAGACCCAGGTGAGAGCAATGGGGGTAACTGTAGAGGTGATCAGGCAAGGCCTCACAGAGGAGGTGACATTTCACTGAATGGCAAGATGGATCCTGACCCATGAAGATCAGGCGGAAGGGCATTCTTGGCAAAGGGAATGGCAATCAAGGTGGGCCGGGGCCTGATGACAGGGAAGGAGTGGGTGCCTCAGGTGAGGCTGGAGGGAGTTGGCAAGGCCCTGATCACCAGGGCTTTGTAGGCCACAGCTGGGAGTTTGGATTCTGTGTCAAGCACAATGGTGCCTGGGACTGTGGGATAAAGATAGAAGCCCGTCTTGCTGCCCAAACTGACCTATCCAACTCAGTCCCTCCTCCTCCTCCACTCTGTGGTCTTAGGAAAGTCAATCCTATCTCCCAGTCTCACTTTCTTATCTGGGAAATGGAAGAGATAAGGAATTTCTGAGGTTCATTCCAACTGTAAGATTAGTATGTGGGCCGAAGTCTAGAGGCAGCAGATGAAGAAAAGAAAAGAAAGGAAAAGAGGCCGGGCGTGGTGGCTCGCACCTGTAATCCCAGCACTTTGGGAGGCCGAGGCGGGCGGATCATGAGGTCAGGAGATTGAGACCATCCTGGCTAACACGGTGAAACCCTGTCTCTACTAAAATACAAAAAATTAGCCGGGCATGGTGTCGGGCACCTGTAGTCCCAGCTACTCAGGAAGCTGAGGCAAGAGAATGGCGTGAACCCGGGAGGCGGAGGTTGCAGTGAGCCGAGATCGCGCCACTGCACTCCAGCCTGGGCCACAGGACCAGACTCTGTCTCAAAAAAAAAAAAAGAAAGAAAGAAAAAGAAAGAAAGGAAGGAAGGAAGGAAGGAAGGAAGGAAGGAAAAAAGAGAGAAATGGAGAGCATGGGCCTGTGGGTGAGACTGCCTGGGTCTGAGTCTGTTCCTTCCCTTTCTAGTTATGTGAACTTGGGCAACTCAATCTCTGTGGCTCTAAATGTGAAAAATGAGAAAGGTGATAGTACTCACCTCACAGCATTGTGGTGAGGATATGAGATGAGATTGTGTACGCACAGCATACAGTATATAGTAGCTGCATGAGAAATGTTAGTTATTGTTACTATTATTCAAACATAATTCCCTGTTCACAAAACCCTGATGGCTTTCCAATACCCAGAATCAAGACTGAGCCCAGGCATCCCCCGACCTCCCCAAGGGAGAAGGATGCCAGTTGCCAAAGTGGGCAAATCCTTGTCTCTCAACAGTCCCCTCAGCAGAGGTCCTTCTGGCTCCTCTCAGCCTCCACCCACTTTGGGCCACTTCCCCGGGCTCCTGCAGTCCCTGGGCTTCCCTTTGCCGCAGCCCTGACCACCCTGTGTTGCCACAGTCTGCTTATGCAACTGTCTCCCTCGTCACTCTGTGAGCTGCTGGAGGACAGGAGCCCGCTCTCCTGCATTCCTGGATTCTTGGCACAGGGCACATTTGACCAATGCTTGTTTCTGCCTTTATTGAAGGATTTGTACCCCTAGGAGGACTATGTCTTCCTCATCTTTGTCTTCAGAGGATAAATACAAGGCCTGACACATAACAAGCATGAGGTAAGTTATATTTACTTGAAAAAGTTAAAAGAAAACCACATAAAATAACAACAATAGCCAATATTTATTGTATACTTGCTGGGGGTCAGGCACCATTCTAAATGTTTTAAATTCTTTTTCCTCTTTGATCCTTACGACATCTCCATCAGGCAGGTTTTGTGTTTATCCCATTTTACAGATGAGTAAGCTAAGCAGCAGAGAGGTCACACAGCTAGTAAGTGACTGAGCCAGCATGCGAACCCAGAGGGTGGAAGTGGGAATTTTTCAGGGCACATAAACTGGTTAATTTCTGTGAGGGGCAAAGGGAGAAAGCTCAGTCCTTGAAACACACAAGACACCAAATGGACACTGAGGTCCTGGTAAAGCTTCGGCCACCCAGGTGACTTTGGTTCTCCCCTACCCTGCCTCTCCATCCTGGGCTGACTCAAGCTTACAGACCCTGCCTACCCTGAGTTTCCAAAGAAAACTCCCAAACCCAACCCAAAATGTAATGAATTCCCCATGAGACAGATGTAGGTGATATTTCACCTGCTGTCAATATGGCACCCTGCCACTCCCAAGTCCCATGTTGGTCTCCAGAGCCATGGGAGCCCCAGCAGCCTACTCTTTCACACTGCCCCCCAGGAACTGGAGCTTCAGAACTTTGCCAGGCTGTGACCTCTGCTAGGCCATGCCCTCTGCCTAGAACACTCCCGCATGGGTTGGCTTCTGTTTACCGTTTGGGCCTCACCTCAAATGCCTCCTCCTCTGGGAAGACTTCTCGCCTCCTCCACAGAGATCCTCCCTGCTCCTCTGGGCCCCCACGGCACTGTGTGTCCCAATCTCCCTGATCACACTGGCCTGTCGTTGTTGGCTCCTCCATCCAATGGGAGCTCCTCCAGTAACAAACAGCATCATCCTGGTTCTCACTCTGTCCCCAGTGATGATGCCTCTCCAGTACCAGGGCCAGAGGACCTTCTGTGTTCACCTCGCCCAGCCTGCTCTGGCAGGCCTTATGCTAGGTGAGGGACACAGACGAACAAGACTCCACCTTTTCCCTGGAGGAGCTCTGGTCTGGAGGCAGAGAGAGCCTGGGACAGAGAGTGTCAGCACAGGGGGACAAGAGCCAGGGAGGGGTCTGCTCAGGGGTGCCAGATTCCACCCCCAGGTACCTTAGGCTGTGTCACCAGCCCAGCCAGGGTCGGAGACCAGCAGCCCCAAGCCAAACACAGCCAGGCTGCAAGGGCAAGGGTGCTCTCTACCATCCTTCACTTTCCTCTTCACTTACACTTCACTTCACTTCTCCACTGCCTTCACTTTACAGAAGGGCAGCCCCAGTCCTTCACATGGTACTGTGAGCCCACGGCGCACTTCTCCATGTCACTGTCTCTCTGTGTTTGTGTCTCTGTCTCTTTCCCTCTCTCCCTCTGAGCAGGCAAAGTGTCCTGATTCCTGTAAAAGAGAGATTCTAATTTATTACTGAACTTTACATAGATCCAAACTGCCATGGTTTAAACGACTTGTTACCTGTGTGACCTGGGGCAAGTTACTTTTATGCCTCAATTCCCTCATCTGCAAAACATTGTTAGCATTAGCTAATGTTTCCTAATGCTATCAATTACCTATTGCTGCAAAACAAATTACCCAAAACTTAGCAGCTTCAAACAGAAATAAACATGTATTATCTCTCCCAGTGTCTGTGGGCCAGGAATTGGGGAGCAGCTTAGTTGCATGGGTCTAGCTCTGGGTCTCTCACGAAGTTGCAGTCAAGATGTTGGTGAGGCCACAGTCTTCCAAAGGTTTAACTGGGGCTGGAGTGTCTGGGCCGGCTCAGTCACAAGGTTGGCAAGTCCCTTTTGGCTGGTGGCAGGAGGACTCCATTTTTCACCATGTGGCTCACTCCAGAGGACTGCTCGAGTGTCCACATTGACATAGCTGGCTTTCCTTAGGGAGACAGATCAAAGAAAGAGAAAGCAATGAAGTCACAATGTCTTGTATGACCTGACCATGGAAGTCACGCTCCCTCATCTCTGCAATATCCTGTTGGTTACATAGATCAGCCCTATTCTATGTGGAAGGGAACTACATAGGATTGTGACTCCCAGGAGGTCTGTCTGGGGGCTGTCTTGGAGGCTGGCTGCCACACACTGTCGTAGGATTTGTGAGGATGAATTAATACAGTCCTCCCTCTGTATCCATGGGGGACTGGTTCCAGGACCTCCTGCAGATACCAAAATCCTCAGATGCTCAAGTGCTTGATAGAAAATGATACAATATTTGCATATAATCTGTACACATCCTCCCGTATACTTTACATCATCTCTAGATTATTTATAATACCTATACAATGTAAATGCTATGTAAATAGTTGTTACGATGTATTGTTTAGGGAATAGTGACCAGGATAAAAAGCCTGTACATGTTCAGTACAGATGCAATTATTTTTTCCTGAATATTTCTGATCTGCAGTTGATTGAATCCAGGATTCGGAACCCATGGATAGAGCGAGCCAACTATGTATACACTTATATAGTGTGTACTATGTACTAAAAACCCTTCTAAGAACTTAAGTACACACTATATAAGTCATTGCTATTATTATTGCCTTTGTGGTTGTTTCTGCCACATAGTAAGAACTCTGTAAGAATTATCTGCAGTTACCATTAATATTAGCTGCATTATTGCTATTAGCTGCACAATCCCTTCATCTTGCAGAGGAAAGGAGAGGATGAAGGTGGTTCAGGGGTTCGTAGAAAAGCAGGACAGACCCAGCCTCGGTTTCTTGCCTCTTGGCTGTGTGCTTTCAGGAGGGTGGGCTCACAACTGCCTCCTCCTCCACTGTCTTATGTAGGAGACTGAGTGGGTCCTTCTCCCTCTCTAGGCCTGGGGTGTCCATCCCTAACCTGAGGGGCTGAACTAGGTCAGTATATCCCATAACTGCAGCCATTCTCATCCACTTGAATGAGTTTCTCTATTTCCCCTTACCTGCTACTGTCATCCCAGGGTTCCCCTTAAATCCTTTCACTTAGTAGATTTAGCTTCATCCTAAGCAATAATCTCCATGAAATCACAGGCTTTATATGCTCATTATATTTTTCCAATACATATTAAATTAAATGTATGGCTATTCACATAAACAATGGGCCTCTGTGCACCCAGATGTGTCTCTTTTCTCTAAGGGCCATCAGCTCTGAGCTCCCTGTTTATTCCAGGACAGATGGAGGGCAGGAGCCCTGACCACTCTGCCCATGATGACAGGCATTCCTCAAGGTGACTTGCAGGTGGCTCAGGCCCTGGGTGCCCACCCCCTGAGTCACATGGCTTTCGGGGGCAGACTCAGTACTTTTCTGTTTGCCTTTATTTTGGGTTAGTTTTTATTTTTTAAATTGTTTTTTATGTTTTTATTGATTGACTGATTGATTGATTGATTGGTTGAGACAGGGTCTCGCTCTGTCACCCAGGCTGGGGTGCAGTGGCACCATCTCAGCTCACTGCAACCTCTGCCACCCCCACCCTCCACCAGCCCCAGGCTCAAGCAATCCTCCCACCTCAGCCTCCTGAGTAGCTGGGACTACAGATGCACACCACCACACCCGGCTAATTTTTTTTTTTTAAGTCTTTTTAAAGAGACAGTGTTTCGCCATATTGCCCAGGTTGGTCTTGAGCTCCTGAGCTCAGGCTATCCACCTGCCTCAGCCTCCTAAAGTGCTGGGAGTACGGGCGTGAGACACCTCGAAATCCCCTTCCTTCCTCCCCGCCAGCCCCAGAAACCATATTCTACTTCCTGTATTTATGAATTTGACTACTCTAGGCACCTTAGGTAAGTGCACTCATGCAATATTTACCCTTTTGTGAGTGGCTTATTTCACTTAGCATAACATCGTCAAGGTTCATCCATGTTGTAGCACGTGTCACAATGTCCTTCCTTTTTAAGGATCGGGAATACTCCATTGTATATCTGTTCCACATTTTGTTTCTTCATTCATCCATCAAGGGACAGTTGGGTTGGTTCCACATTTTAGCTACTGCGTATAATGTTGCTATAAACATGAGTGTACAAATATCTCTTCAAGTCCTTGCCTTCAGTTCTTTTGAATATACTCAGAAGTGGAATTGCTGGATCATACTGTGATTCTAGTTTTTATTTTTTGAGGAACCACCATAGTGTTTTCCACAGCAGTTGTATCATTTTACGTTCCTACCAACAATGTGTAAGAGTTCCAGTTTCTCCATGTCCTGGCCAAAACTTGTTGTTTTCTGCTTTTGTTGTTGTGGTTGTTGTTTCTTTGTTTGTTTTAACACAGATCCTAATGAATGTGAGGTTTTTTTTCTCACTGCGGTTTTCATTTGCATTTCCTTGATAATTAGTGATACTGAGCCTCTTTTCATGTACTTATTGGCCATTTGTATATCTTCTTCGGAGAAATGTCTATTAAATTCCTTTGCCCATTTTTCAATTGGGTTGTTTAGTGTTTTGTTGTTGAGTTGTAGGAATTCTTATATATTTTAGCTATTAACCCCTTATCAGATATATGGTTTGCAAATATTTTCTCCCATCCCATTGGCAGCCTTTTCACTCTATTGATTCTGTCCTTTGATACACAGAATTTTTCAATTTTGATGTAGTTCAATCTGTTTTTTCTTTTGTTGTCTGTGCTTTTGGTGTCATATTCTGAACATACTTATATGTGATCGTAATACAATAAATGCTATTTGTAGTGTGCCATGATTAATACTTTTTTCCTGCATGCCTTTGTGTTTTCCCTGGAATTAATAATTGTTACCTTTTGCTTTATTGCTTTATTTCTTTCTTAGCTTTCTATGTATTTATCTCTCTTTCCTCCCTAAACTCTCCCTCATTTGTGTAAATCTCCTCTTACTACAATCACCCACATTCAATACAGTAATCCCCACTTATCCGAAGTTTCACTTTCCGCAGATTAATTTACCCGAGGTCAACCACGGTCCAAAGATATTAAATGGAAAATTCCAGAAATAAACAATGTGTAAGTTTTCAGTTGCATGCTATTCTGAGTAGCAGGATGAAATCTCGTGCTGTCCGGCTTCGTCCCACCTGGGATGTGAATCATCCCTTTGTCCAGTGGATCCGCGCTATAGACACTACTCTCCCATCAGTCACTCAGCAGCTGCTTCAGTTCCCAGATCAACTGTCGCAGGATCGCAGTGCTTCTGTTCAAGTAATCCTTATTTTACTTCATTATGGGCTCCAAAGCACAAGAGGAGTGTTGCTGGTGATTCCGATATGCCAAAGGAAAGCTGTAAAGTACTTCCTTTAAGTAGAAAGGTGAAAGTACTTGACTTAATAAGAAAATTTAAAAAACAAAATTGTATGCTGTGGTTGCTAAGATCTACAGTAAGAATGATTCTATTCATGAAATCGTGAAGAAGGAAAGAAATTTGTGCTAGTTTTGCTGTTGCAACTCAAGCTGCAAAAGTTACAACACCTGTGTGTGATGAGTGCTTAGTAATGATGGAAAAGCCATTAAATTTGTGGGTGCAAGACACGGACAGAAACGTTCTGATTGACGGCAATCAGGTTCCATTGGGGGTATTGGAACACATCCCTGAGGATAATGGGGGACTACTGTATTCTACCAACTTATTCCTCTTGAAGAATTCCCTTTCGGATTTCTGACTGCTGAGTCCTGGACTGGTTGATGGCAAGGCCAGCTGCCCTGGTTGTCACCTGGAGACTGTGCTGCACTTTTCTCCTGGGTCGAACCCCTCAATTCCTAGATCCCACGTCTTCCCCTTCTGGGTTCACTACCTTATTTGGGGGAACATATACCCATAGCTTTCTTTTTGTTTTATTTTTTGTTTACCTATTTATTTATCTTATTTTATTTTTTGAGACGGAGTCTCCCTCTGTTGCCCAGTCTGGAGTGCAGTGGTGTGACCTCGTCTCACTGCAGCCTCCACCCCCCAGGTTCAAGCAATTCTCCTGCTTCAGCCTCCCAAGTAGCTGGGACTACAGGTACGTGCCACCATGTCTGGCTAATTTTTGTATTTCTAGTAGAGATGGGGTTTCTCCATGTTGGCCAGGCTAGTCTCAAATTCCTGACCTCAGGTGATCCAACCGCCTTGGCCTCCCAAAGTGCTGGGATTGCAGGCATAAGCCACTGCGCCTGGCCCCATGTATACCTATACTTTTCTAAAAGGATGTGTTTGGGGTGAAATCTTAAGACCTTGCCTTTCTAAAAGTGCCTCACATTTAATCAGATAGTTTGACCAGGTATAAATTTCTAAACTGGAAATATTTTTCCCTCTGAATTTTGAAGGCTTGCTCCATTGTCTTCCAGTTTCTGCTGAAAAGTCTGAGGCCATTCTGTTTCCTAATCTTTTCTAGAGACTCTGTTCTCTCTTTCTGGAAGCTGTGTCCTCAGTGGGTCTTTTCTTTTAAGAGAAGGGATCCCATCGCCACCGAGGCTGGAGTTCAGTGGCACAATCATCGCTCACTGCAGCCTTGACCTCCTGGGCTCAAGGATCCTCCTGCCCCAGCCTCCTGAGTAGTTAGGACTACAGGCTCATACCACCATGCCTGCTCAGCCTTAGTGTGTCTTGAAGTGAATCGATTTCCATTCACTGTGCTGGGTACCCAGTGAGTCCTCACGGACAAACTAATCATCTTCATTTTGGAGAAAATTTAAAAGAAGTACCTCTATAATGATTTTATTTTTTCTTTCAGGAACTCCTTAATTATTCAAATACTGGCCCTCCTGGAGCAGTTCTCTATATTTCTTATATCCTTTTTCCACCTATTTTTCATCCCATTTTGCTCTTCATTCTGGAAATGTTCTTCAACTCTTCAACAGTTTTTTGTTGTTTTTCAAAAATTTATCTTATCATATTTCCAAAAGCCTTTTGTTTGTTCTTTGACTATTCCTTTTTTTAGAGTATCTCGTTCTTTTCTCACGGATGCAATATTTTCTCTTATTTCTTTGAGGATGTTAGTAATGTTTTGTTGTTGTTTCTGTTGAAGTGTTTCTCACCATGCCTAATCTCTTCTTTGTCCAAGTTAATTTTTTTTTCTGATTGTTGAAAAGACAAGCCACATACTGGGAGAATATATTACAGCACAAATAACGCACAAAGCATTACTATCCGGAATACATAAGTAATTCTTACAAATTGGTAAGAAGACAACTCAATTAAAAAAGAGCAAAAGATATGAATGAGCATTTCACAGCAGAAAAATATGAATGAAAAATAAACCACAAGAAAAGATTCTCAGCCTTATAGAAATCAGGAAAATGTAAATTAAGACCACAGGAAGATTTTCCATGGAAAAGAAGTCCCATAGTGGCAAGTATTGGAGAGGCAGGAATCAACAGGGATCCTTATATGCTCCTAATGCAGTGTAAATTGCTGCAACCACTTTAGAATATTGCGATTTCATTACTAAGTGTAAACCCTGGAGATACACTTGCATGCAAGCACCCAGAGACAGGTGCAAGGATATTCATAGCAGTGCTGTTTATTATGGTAAAAACATGGAAACCACCCTAATGTCCTTAACAGTAAAATTAATTAATTGTGGCATCACCATATAATGAAATCCTATACAGCAGTGGCAATGAGTCTAACATAGCTGTGGCTGGATACAGAAGGAATCATAGAATTATAATGCGGAGTGAGAAAAGCCTGTTGCAGAAGACTACATACAACAGGATTTGACACTTGTAAGGCTCCAAAACAAAGAAAATTAAATGATATTGTTTAGGTTTTCATACATAGGTGATAAAAGTGTGTTTCTTTGTTTTTAATGAGAAAATTAGTCACAGAATTTAAGATCTTAGTTACTTCTATAGGGAAGGCAGGGGAATGGGACAAGGAGGAAGCCCACAGCATTGGTCATGCTCTCATGTTGAAGTTGGGTTCAAAGGTGTTCATTATTAAAATGCTTCATAATGATGACCATACATTTGGTATTTCTAGGACAATCTTGGTTTACATCTATTGTCTCAACATAATTATTCAGTGCAAGCCTTTCCTTTCTCAGAAAGGTCCTAATGTAGATAATAAATTATTTTGGCCAACTTATTTCTTATAAAATGCAACATGCATCTCTTTTGTATGTATCTATTATTCCATAATCTATACAGGTGTTTTTGTTTTTTTGTTTTTGTTTTTGTTGTCATTGTTGTTGTTTGTTTGTTTTTTTGAGACAAGCCTCTCTCTGTTGCCCAAGCTAGAGTAAAGTGGCACGATCTGAGCTCACTGCAACCTCCGCCTCCGGGTTCAAGCGATTCTTGTGCCTCAGCTTATCAGGTAGCTGGGACTACAGGCACCCACCACCACATCTGGCTAAATTTTTGTATATTTAGTAGAGACAGGGTTTTGCCATGTTGCCCAGGCTGATCTCGAACTCCTGGCCTCAAGTGATCTGCCCACCTCAGCCTCCCAAGGCTAGGATTACGCTAAGATTATAGACATAAATCAGCGCACCTGGCCTCCATAATCGATATAGTTTTTAATACTGGGGCCACAGCCTGGCCACAGTCTCATGGGATGTTTGTGGTTTGACCCTAACAACCTTGTGAACCAGCCTGGGTAACTGTCCTTGGGGCCTCAATGAACCAAGCCCTGGAGCACCCAGTCCCCAGATCCTTCTGGCCACTCTGACTCCCTGTGCCCTGGACCCCACACCTCACCTGTCCTGGGCCCCACTCTGTCCTCTCCTCCACTTCTCACTGCCTGTGGAGCCATCTTCCAGGGGCCCTGAAACCTCACCCACAATCCAGGTCCACCCAGGGCCCCTGTGCCAGGCCCCATGCTGGGTGATATTGGGGAACCATCTTGGGGGCAGCTGGAGATGGAAACCGTGACAACCCAGTGGATCAAGGCTATGGCACAGACCAGGCTGTGACACTGCAGAGGAGAGGGCTTAGCCCAACCTGGGGCCCAGGGAAGGCTGCCTGGAGCTGTTTTGAAGTCTGACGGGAGTGAGCTGGGTAGGGAAAGTGGGGGGAAGAGTGCTCCGGGCAGACAGGACAAAGTGCAGACAGTAGGGTAAGGAGGCACGGTGGGGGACGCAGCTCACATGTTGCTGTGAGCAGAGCACAGAGCACAGGGCAGTGCCTGGCAGAAGTGGGTCTGGAAAGGGTGCCTCCTGGAGCCATGAATGCCAAGCCCAGGGTCTTGGACTGTATCCTGAAGGCAGCAAGGAGGCACTGAAGGCATTAGAGCGAAGCAAGGAGAACTGTCAGGCCAGGTGAGTCATATCAAGTGAGGTGAGAGTGAAATTGGGAGAGAGAAGCGGAAAGAGACAAGGCAGCAGAGACATTTTATTGTTCTGCTTCGTCCTGGAAACCCACTCCCTGACAGCCTCCTCCCCCTGTCCTGCACCCACCACCCCCACACCTATCCATACACACACTGCAGAGCCGGTAGGGGAGGAATAGCTCTGTGGTCTTGTGTGCAGGTGCTGCTATGGGACTTCCTGGGTTCACATCCCAACCTTGCCACTTGTCCTACCTGTGTAACTTTGGGCAGTGGCTCAATGTCTCCATGTGTCCAGTTTCCCTGTAAAATGAGGATGATGGAAGTACTTACCTCACTGAAGCTTAACTGAGTCACAGGGGCCTGGCACATAGTAAGCTCTCAATCACTGTGAGCCGTCATGGTCACTGGGGTGACACCACCTGCTCTCCTCCAAAACAGAGGAGACTATACCCAAGGAAGAAGAAACCAGAGAAAGGACAGGAAGGTTTGGTGGCAGCGACTAGTCTCGAGACGGCAGTCCCCAGAACAGGGCTGGATGTGTCCCCACCAGTAGACAGGCCCAGATGCAAGGCCTCTGATGTGTCTGCCGCTGCAGCCTCCATTCCTAGGGTGGTGACTCAATAAATATGTGCTGAATGAATGAATGAATGAATGAAATGTCATGACTTCCAGGTACCCCACTGATGTGGTTTGACTGTGTCACCACCTAAATCTCATCTTGAATTGTAGCTCCCACAATCAGGTGTTGTGGGAGGGACGTGAATCATGGGGGTGGGTTTTTCCCATGCTGTTCTCGTGATAGTGACTAAGTCTCACAAGATCTGATGGTTTTATAAAGGGCAGTTCCCCTACACACGCTTTCTTGCCTGCCACCATGTAAGATGTGCCTTTGCTCCTCCTTCATCTTCCGCCATGATTGTGAGGCCTCCTCAGCCATGTGGAATTGTGAGTCCATTAAACCTCTTTTTCTTTATAAATTATCAAGTCTCAGGTATGTATTTATAGCAGCATAAGAACAGACTAATACACCCACCTACAAATAAAGCCCTGAGGTCTCTTCCCCGCCCTTGCTTGGGTGGGTGCAGTGAGTGGAATGTGTAGTCCCTGATGCACCATCTCCGGCCCTTACAGTTTATGGCTCCTCACTGGGCTGTGTCCAGCAACATCTATCCTGCTGTTTCCCCTACTCTGGGCTGTCCCTGCTCTTGCCGCTTTCCTGGGGAGTGGGTGAGGACTGAGG